>NW_021159998.1:0-254759 GCF_000001405.40 Homo sapiens
GAATTCCTTGTTCCCAATGGTACAAGGGATGAAATAAATGGCAGATAGTAGGAGCCAGGTTCCTCATTATTACAGTGAGAAGTTACAGATAAAAAATAGGGAAGCCTAGAATGATCTCTGTCATAATGAGTCAGAATGTATATATACAACGTAAGTATAAACTCACATTTAGCTTAACATATACATAGATGGTTCCACATAGAAACCTTTATAATTAAGTGGGTACATATAAGTTAGAAGACACACATATATTTCTTTGCACTGTCAGCTGTAAGTGTCATGATGCAATGACCACATTTAGTGGCCAGATGTAAGTTTTTCATACCATTCTCTAACAAAAGAAATCAGGGCTATTAGAAGAAATAGCTGAAACTAGGACTGGGACAGAAAATATATGAGCCAGGGTACTTTTGAAGTAACAGAAATAAATTATAAAAAAAACATGAAATTATGTAAAAGGAGCCAGTGGAAAGAGCTACCAATGGCCACAGGTATGAACAAAGAGCAACAAAATACTGTACAATTAGATAACAACCAAAAGATTAAAGTAACTATCTGTGGACCCATACTGGTATAAATAAATGATTAAACAGATATGCAAATGGGCTGAATAGAAATCTCTTATACAGAAGAATTCCAAATACCTGATACAGACAGCCATCAAGGAGGTGGGGCTAACTCCCCACTCCTTTAAGTATGAGCTCTGCATGATGACTTCCTCCAAAAGCATACATACAATATAGACATGGGAAAAAAGTAACTTTACAGTGAAAAACCTGAAAACACTGCCTCAACCAAGTGATAAAAGTTAACATTAATGGTGATAACACATCTTGAGAGCATGAAGTGACTAGACTAGCACTTGCAAACCAAAAATAAAATTCAAAGATCTTTCCCCCAACCACCTCTCCACCAGGGGACACCAAAGTTAACCTGGAAGACTGGTTCAGGCTATGATGGGAAAGAGGTGGTCAGACATGCCTCATTATGCCCTCCTCCCTTTTGGAATTCAGGAAAAGCCAATCAGCATTTAACATCAACACAACCTTAAATCTGATAAGAAACATTTACAATCTATTCTCTCTGAAGCCTGCTACCTGGAAGCTTCATTTCCATGATAAAACCTTGGTCTCCATAACCCCTTATCATAACCCAGACACTCCTTTCTATTGATAGTAAGTCTTTCAACAAACTGCCAATCAGAAAAATTTTAAATGTACCTATAACCTGGAAGCCCCCCCCCCACCCTAATCCATTGGGTTGTCCCACCTTCCTGGACCGAACCAATATATATCTTAAATACACTTGATTGATGTCTCCTATCTCCCTAAAATGTATAGAACCAACCTGCACCCCAACGACCTTGGGCACATGTTCTCAGGGTCTCCTGAGGGCTGTGTCAAGGGCCATGGTCACTCATATTTGGCTCAGAATACATCTCTTAAAATATTTTACAGTCTTTGACTCTTTTTGTGGACACACTACACATCTGCTCTGCTTCCCCCAAACCCCTAAACCCAGGCTGATTATGAGAAAAACCCCAAGTAAACCACAATGGAGGACATTCTACACAATACCTGACCAATCCTCCTAACACTGTTCCAGGTCCTCAGAAGTAAAGTCTGAGAGATTGTCACAGCCAAGAAGAGCCTGACATGATGACTAAATGTCCTATGGGATCCTAGATAGGATCCTGGGAGAGAAAAAGGCAGAACTAAGGGAAACCAAATAAGATGTGAGCTTATTTAATAATATAGTAATATCCAGTCATTAAGTATGACAAGAAATGATGTAAGATGTTGGTCAGGAGTGGTGGCTCATGCCTGTAATCCCAGCACTTTGGGAGGCTGAGGCAGGCGGATCACCTGAGATCAGGAGTTCAAGACCAGCCTGGCCAACGCGGTGAAACCTCATCTCTACTAAAAATACAAAAATTAGCCGGGCATGATGGCAGGCACCTGTAATACCAGCTACTCAGGAGGCTGAGGCAGGAGAATCGCTTGAACCTGGGAGGCGGAGGTTGCAGTGAGCCGAGATCACGCCACTGCAGTCCAGCCTGGTTGAGACTCTGTCTGAAAAAAAAAAAAAAAAAAAAAAGATGTTAAACCTATCTGATACATGTTGGTATGTTAAAAAGCGGGGAAACTAGGTTGCGTCTACATGGGAAATCTGCATTTTCTTCCCAATTTCTGTATGAATCTAAAACTAATTTAAAATAAAACCTCTATTTAAAAATTGTAATTTTTTCAGATATCTGCTAAATTATTTGTACTAAAAATTAGTAATTGACAGTAACTACTCCTACTTTTAAAAATAAGAGCATTCATGATACTGCAAAGTAAATTATACAGACTAATATATACTTTCAAAGAAATGCCCCTTTTACATGTTTTATGTTAAGATAACATATATGTGTAAACATGGTCATATCATTTTCCTTATGGTGTAGTTCACTCTCTAAGAAAGCTGGTCATCTTAGAACCAGGGAAAAAAATTCACATTTTGGAGACTATTTCAATTTACGGCTGGACGTTTTCAAAGTATGACTTTGCGAAAAAAAAAAAAGTTCAAATTGATTCATTGTGACTGGATCACTTATTCTAATGAATGCTTGCCTTTATTTTGTTTCCCAGCATTCCTTTCAGCTACGATACAAAAGAAGCAAATATTTGCCACTGGAAAAAATATTCAAAGACACTCTTAGGTTAATCTATAGCTGATGACAGTCAGTCTAGTCTACATAGCAAGCAGCTTCAAGATATGATTACTTAGCTAAGCGGGAAATGGGACGTGACTGCTGCCTCATTCCCACGCCTCTCTGGACCTGATAATTTAGAGGAAGCTCACATTCGCAAGATAAAAATTTTCTTTTCCTTCTCAGTATTAAATATGCTGTCACAATAGAAGAAAGCTTTACTGACTTCTTAAATGACGTGTTGAGACCGGAACCCTAAAATGATAGTTACTGAGGATAGTGCTAATGCCCTAAGACCGGAAACCTAAAATGATAGTTACTGAGAATAGTGCTAATGCCCTAAGACCGGAAACCTAAAATGATAGTTACTGAGAATAGTGCTAATGCCCTAAGACCGGAACCCTAAAATGATAGTTACTGAGAATACTGCTAATGCCCTAAGGTTTTAGTCACACCCTCACCTAGGCAGGAACCCAACCAAAAGGGGAGAACTGTGGAACAAACTACGGGAGGTCATTGTTTCGGTCACCACTCCCGCATTAGGCCACACTGAGCAGGCAAAACCAGAATGGAGACACTCACGCTGAATGACACACAACGAAGCTGAAACTTTAAGGAAGTAGACAGATCCCAAAAGAGCTCCCTTTTTCCCTGAAGAGATTCCAGTCTACCTGAGTCAGCATAAAGAAGTCCCCTCTGCTTTAATTCTTACCAAAACAAGTAACTTGAAGTAATCTGATGTTAACAAATCAGTTGTTATTTTCTATTGCTCTATTTCCGCCTTACACAACACAGTGTTCTGCTATTGCCCAGAGGGCACTGAGACCAAATAAAACTTGAAAATGCCACACTGAAAGCAAATAAGTACTAATAACTCAATTTACAACGATAACAAAGAGTGACACCAATGCCCAAAGTTTTGATCAATATCTCAAAATTGAGAGGCTGACCAAAAGGGAGGAATTCTTACATCAAACAACATTTGGGCTCTAGAAGCCTCCCAAGGAGTCCTTGTAAAGAGTCGCGGCCGGGCGCCGTGGCTCACGCCTGTAATCCCGGCACTTTGGGAGGCCGAGACGGGTGGATCATGAGGTCAGGAAATCGAGACCATCATGGCTTACAAGGTGAAACCCAGTCTCTACTAAAAAAAAATACAAAAAAATTAGCCGGATTTGGTGGCGGCAGCCTGCAGTCCCAGCTACTCGGGAGGCCGGGACAGGAGAATGGCATGAACCCGGGAGGCGGAGCTTGCTGTGAGCTGAGATCGCGCCACTGCACTCCAGCCTGGGCGACAGAGCGAGACTCCGCCTCAAAAAAGAAAAAAGAAGAAGAACAAGAAGAATCGCAACCTAATTTAGTATAGAAACAAACTGTAAATCTGACTTGGGAATGTATCATGGTAACAAATAGCGGCGGTTCAGCCAATCACATCAGCCGAGTGTCAGTCAATGGCCGGCAGCCAGCTGTTCAAAACAAGTTCCAAGAAGGCAAATCCGGGCTGTAACCAGGTCTGTAACCAATCCAGCCACCTCTATACCTCACTTCTGTTTTCTGTATGTCACTTTTTTTCTCTGGCTATAAATATAACCCGCACATGTTGTGTGGCAGATCATTCTGAACCATTTTTGGTCTGGACTGCTGCCTGATTCTAGAACCACAAAAAAAGCCAATTAAGATCTGCAAACCCACATTTGTTGTAATTTTGTATTTTAACAGTTGTGCCCTACAAAAGACATTAAGCTGAAATTAATTAAAAATCATTTACGGTCATGATTAGGTCATAAAAAATTGTCAAACATAACAATTCTTCAAAAAAAGCTAAAAAGTATATTTTAAAAACATTGTTGATGGAAAAAAGAGTGCAAAAGTAGATAGGAAAATTATGTACAAAACTAAAAACAGAGGAGAAATTAAAAGTCAAATAATTGCATCAAACTGGAAACCTAGAAAAAATGGGTGATTTCCTAGTAAAAATACACATTAACAAAATGGGCACTGAAATAAGGCAACTATGAATATACCAATTAGCATAGAAAAGCTAAGAAAGGTCCTTAAAGATCTCCCAGTGGAAAAAGGCCCCAGGACCATCTGGGTCCATAGCTTAGTGTAAGCTGACTTAACTAAATGTGATTTTACACTCGTGCATTGCATACATACGATGGTGGTCCCATGAGATAAAAATGGAGCTGAAAAATTCCTTCCTAGCCATCTTGTCATAAGCTCATGGCTCAACGCATTACCTTTTCTCTGTTCTGATACCATGAAAGGAAAATAAATCTCAGGACCCCCAAATCACTAAGCCAAGGGAAAAGTCAAGCTGGGAGCTATGTCAGGCAAACCTGCCCTCATTCTATTCCTAAGATAGCTACAAAGATAAAAAGCTACATACCTCACTCACAATTTGCCCACAAAGAATTTCCTTTTGGACAAAGGACAGACAGCACTCAAAGTCATCCCTCACCTGAGACAGATGCATATCTGATTGCTTCCTCTGCCCTATTATTTATGTAAAAATGCAGATTCATTGAGCCAGACTAAATTGTGTATTCAGTGGAAGGCTGATGAAGGATTCAAAAGAATGCAACCTTTTGTCTCTAACCTACTTCTGACCTGGAAGCACCCCCACTTCCTGCTTCCAGTTGTCCCGCCTTACTGGGCCAAATGACTGTACATCTTACACGTCTCATGTATCCCTAAAATGTACAAAAGCAAGCTCTACCCTGGCCACCTTGGACACACGTCGTCAGGACCTCCTGAGGCTGTGTCATGGGCGTGTCCTTAATCTTGGCAAAATAAGCTTTCTAAATTGACTGAGACCTGTCTCAGATATTCTGGGATCACAATCTACAATCACCATGGTGTTATGGTTGACTACAGCATTCAGTACAGAGACATGCTGTACAGGTTCGTAGCCTGGGAGCAATAGGCTATACTATGTAACTTAGGTGTGGAGTGGGCTACACCATCTAAGTTTTATAAGGACACTCTACAGTGTTCACACAAAGATGAAATCACCTAAGGACAGATTTCTCAGAAAGTATAACATCGTTACGAGATGCCTGAGTGTATTTTAAATGGTCAAAGCCTAGGAGAAAAAAAGAAACTTAACTCTTGTTATGGGTTAATAACGAAGCTTAAGAGAGTTAACATATTTCATCTAATCTAAGATGCCAATGATTAAAAGACATTACTTTATGCACCATCACAAATAGGTTGCCAATTAAACCGACTTTCTGAATAACACACAAATGTGAATTTACTTCTATTAATGCCAGGAAAGTAAAATGAAAAATAAATTATGGTTTTGACATGTTAAAGCAAATACGGCGGGGGTTAGCCTGAGGCCTTCCCTAAGCAAACAGAAACCGAACTTGGAGGCATTTGAACTGACTTAAAAAAATTAACAAACCAACCACAGTCAATGCCAAAAAGCCCAGCAGCCAGTTGGCTGTATGACTAGGGACGCTGAGGGAACCATCCCCACAACAGGCGGTGGCCTAGCTGGAGCCACTGAGGAGCCTCACTTAGGGGCCACCCTAAGAGCTCGAAGCCCCAAGCCGATTTCCGTTCTGGTGCTTCCCGCGTGATTCATGAACCATTCCTTTGCCGAAATAAACTCCGCTTAAATTTATTTTACCTAAAATCCTTTTAACAGACAAAGTCCAGTATTTACACTTAAAACACGGTTGTGAAAACTCACATCTACATCTGCTCTTCAATATTTTTCAAGTACTTTAACACTCTAAGAAAAACGAGCCACTGGAACGCAAATAAAAGCAAGTCGTGGGGTGCGCGTCTCCCTGGGGCTCTCCATGTTGCCCTCAGGGTTTCTCCCTTCTCTGTCCCGGATCCACCCCAAACAAACCCAAATTGGTCAAAAATTAAAAAATGAAACAACTCAGGTATGCTGTAATAATGAATAACAAAGCCACTTAATGATGGGCCACTTTGTAAAATAAAATAAATACAACTTGAGAAAGTGGAGCGCGAGGCAGCGCGGCCTCCTCCGCACTGAGCCGGGACAGAAAGCTTTTTCCTCACCTTTCCTCGGGCAGCCTCGGGGACCATGAAGCCACAGCTTCCCCAGTCGTTCCTGAGGAGCTGAGGAGAAGGAGGCTGGGTCGTCCCTGGCCACGGTCCCCAGGTGTTCCTAGAGAGCCAGCGGCGTCTCCCGAGTGGGTCCTGAGGAGGAGGAGGCTGGGCCCTCTCAGGTGTCCCTGTAGGGATGACGGCGCCTCTTGCGTAGGTCCTGAGGAGACGGCTCGGCTCCGCCCCCTGGAGCCGCAGGCCGTCTGTGCCGGAACCCGGGCGCCGCTTGAGGTTCTGTGAGGCGGCATCGCGCCCCCTGACGGCCGTCGCAGGCGGTGCAGGATGCTCAGGTGCTCGCGGTCGAGCTGTGGCCTCGCCCCTCCGGTGGATCTCCGAAGTTCACTGTTCTGACAATTACACGCCATGACTTTTGAAAAACCAGCTGAGGCCGGGCGCGGTGGCTCACGCCTGTAATCCCAGCACTTTGGGAGGCCGAGGCGGGCGGATCGCGAGGTCAGGAGATCGAGACCATCCTGGCTAACACGGTGAAACCCCGTCTCTACAAAAAACAAAAAAACAAAAAAAAATTAGCCGGGAGTGGTGGCGGGCGCCTATAGTTCCAGCTACTCGGGAGGCTAAGGCAGGAGAATCGCTTGAACCCGGGAGGGGGAGGTTTCAGGGAGCCTCCTCTAAACAGAAAAGACCGACCCCTAGTCAGTGTTTTATTTTCCCTGATGACCGCAGGCCATGAACTTATGGAACAATAACGTAATTAGGCTCTTGGACCCAGGGAAGTAGCTCCATGCCACCTGCCCTCATTTGCTGAGCATTTTGGTTTCTCGGATCTGCTACTCAGTTTCCAGTCTCCTCCTCCCTGCCAATGCTGCCAGCGTGCCTCTTCTGCAAGCAGCAACCGCCTTCCACCTTCCATTCTCTACTCTTTAGCCATCATCTGGCTGGACTTTTCAGAATGGACTGCAAAGGAGAATAAACTGGCTGAGTCTGAGGGTGCACTCACGTGCAAAGTTGCAAGCTTTAATGTACCCATCTTGGCAGATTTTGGCTCCTTAGAGTTCTTTCTCATTTGGGGATCTCATGTGCCCTCTGATGAGGTGGGCTCACTGACTGTCTGCGCTGGTGGCATCTGGCAGCACCTTGTCACGTGCACCTAGGTAAGAACCTGGCTGCACCTGATGCTTAGCCAAACGGGGAACCCACAGTTCTGTGTATCAGGTGATGTTTAATCTCTGGAGGTTAATGAACATGAGGGAGCGATACTGTCTGGGACTCTCCACATATTGCGTCTGAGTCACTGAAGGAAAAGAATGTGGGGTCTGTTTGCTGGGACTGGACACCTCCATAATCACATGCTCCATGAAATGCAGGCAGGAGATCTCGCTTTCTACCTCTGGGATGGGAGTGTGCAGTTTCAGAATGAGACTAGCCCACACAACTGACTATTTGGGAAAGAGAAATGAAATCAGATGCAGCAATTTAATATCCACTAAGATGATATCTTAATCACAAACACTCTTCTGGTTTTTAGAAATGTGAATGTTATTTACACTAGGTTAAAAAACCTGAATATCCAACAGCATGACACCGACTAAAGAAATACTGGCGCACTCTGGAACCTTGCACACCACTTATTGGCATGGGAACAATGGGAACACGCCTATGCAAAGATGTGCATGGAAATTAGAAGAATGCAACACTGTAGAACAGATGTGACTAGGTGCATGATCAAGAGCACACAAGACCAAGCCTGCCTCTGCACACACAAGACAGCGCCTGAGTCTGCACCACGTGACGGGACCACTGTGGAGCAAGCCTGGGAGATTCTGATGTAGGCAGCAGAGGCGTCACTTAGGGACCAGACTTCCGTGGGAAACCACCATCTCCTTCCAACCCAGATGCGCTTCATGGCAAACGCGAGCAGATGAAGGTCATGTAGGAGACGAAAGAACTCGCTCCCCAAGCCCATAGGCCTTTGTCCTCCACCCATGGACCGAAGCATCTTGTTAGATGAGGGCCGCCCGCAGCCAGGGCCGGCGGAGAACCTGCCACGGAGCAGGTGTCCGTAAAGAACTGCTGACTGTCACTGTCCCTACTTGGGGGCCACTGGGGGATCTGATGCATCTCACTACCCTTTGTAAAGGAATTATTGAAAATGTCAGCCCTCTAACAAGGCATAGGTTGATTAGTTACAGGATTTAACATTTCTATTTTAAAAGGCAGCATTGAAGAATGTCTTTACAAAGGCTGTACAAAACCTGCCATATTCTTTGTCACACAGATTGACTCATGTGCAATGCAGCCATTTGATGAAACACTGGCATTTACCAGATGTAAACTTATTAGCAGACGACAACTAGAAATAGTGTGCTGGATGTGCCCGTTTATTTATATGAATATAACCATCTCTCTAGATGCATCGAAAGATACACAACATGAGATCCACTTTATTTCTACAAGTTTATGATCAGGTGGTCAGGACAGGGAAAGAAGAGGAAAAAACTTTAAATCATGGACCTTTATTCTTAGACACCTTTATCCTACATACACAAGGGACATGCATGGTTGAAATAACGGAAACAAGTGGATAAAAGTGAAAGTAACTTAAACAGCTTTACCCAGGAATGCCCAATTCAGGTGCTGCAGAGAAGAGCATGAGAACCGGGTGTCTTCAGGACAGGTGTGCATCTGGGAGCAGAGTGGGCGTTCATCAGCAGGGAGGAGCAAGGCCTGGGTCGGGGGACACTGGGGCTGCTGTCCCAGAGGCTGGCAGTGTAGCTCTGAACCCCCAAGACTTCACTGAGTCTCCCCTCAACCACCTAAACCAGAATAAACTGATGTAGCAGGACTCCTCAAACACTGTGCAGGGTCTCCATGTCCTCGATGGCCCCTGATGAGCCACAGTACCCTCAGGTCCTGGTGAAGGAGCTGGTGCTGCCTCCTGCCTTTCCCCACATGGGGTCCTGCAGCTCATCCCACACAGCCTCAGATTCCCTCTACAGAACCTGCCCACAGATGTCTTCCGAGACAGGCAATACTGGGAGGCCTGTGGCCCAGACCCAGGAGGAACCAGCTGAGAGGCTCCGTGGAGGTATCGCTGATGGTGTAACCAGAATGAAAATGCCCACTTCTGTTCTGCTCCCTGAGAACAACTGTCAAGCCAGCATGAGTTTCCAGTTGGAACTTTTCCTTTTCTCCCCATGTTTGTCGCTGTTTTAATGGACATTGCCTGGCTATTAAATCCCCCGATGAACTCACTTTGAAAATTATCTTTTGCACTGGGCACCCTTTCAGGAATCACTGAGTGTTAATTTTCTCAGTCTGAGTGATAATTTATGAGTCAAACAAGGACAGATCTGAAGCCAGAGGCTGCTCCTGTTGGGAAATCCCTGAGGATGATGTTCCAGGGAAGCCTCCAGCCTTGGGAGTCCCGTGGAACTGAGCCAGCCCAGGTCATGAAGGGAGCTGGTGCCAGACACTGACTGGGGACCTGCTGGCCTCTGGGCAGACCGCTCTGTCCCTGCACTTGGCCTGCCAGGTATCCCTGTGCAGTCATACCAAGTCCTGTGCTCAGAAGGGCCCCAGAGTAGTTTAAAGCTCTGCTGCCGCCCCTGGAAGCTCATGATTTTGAACAACAACAGCAAAAAAAAACCCACGTTTTCCACTCGGCCCCACACATTATGTGGCCTGCGCAGCTGTCAGGCTGTGGCCACAGTGCTGGCATCTCTCACACAATGAAGGCTGCTGGAGTCCTGGCTGACTTGTTTTGACTCTTTTGTGAGGCCCACACCTAAGCTAAACACTCACGTGCCCCCACACTGACTCCCCACACTCTAAAGCATGAATCTGCCCCTTTAGCTGGGAGAGGGTCCTCGTGTCATCTGGGTTTTTGGAGAGAAGGTCAAGGGAGCCTGGGTTCTAGTTCTTCAGTAATCAAGAGTAAGGGTCTTACCTGTTCACAGTTCCCTGTGGCTGCTTTACAGAAAGCAGGAAGTGGCCACTTCAGCCACACGGCTGCATTTCCAGCTCAGTCCAGGCAGAGCTGCACCCTGCCTTGCACCTCTGCAGTTCCTGAGGGGAGTCCTTAACTGAGCCAGGGCGAGTCCTGGGGGCACTCTGCCCCTGTGGACACTGCCCCTGGGCAGGCCATGAATCTCCTCTGCTCCCACACTCTAGAGTTCAACGGGTCTCAGGGGCTCTGCCTGAGGACTGCCCTTCAACCAGGTATTCGTAATTTCCCCAAGACCCAGGCTTGCTGAGTCACTCAGTTACCTGAATGCTTTTTTCACAAAGGGATGACTGTGCTGCTCCGTCTTCCTTCTTTTTTGTTTGCAAGGCCACAGGGAAATCTGGATCCTCTGGTGAAAAAGCAAATCCAGTTGCTGCTGCTGCTGCTGCTGCTGCTGCTGCTGCTGCTGCTGCTGCCGCCGCCGCCGCCGGTTCTTGTAAATGTCCTCACTTGGTTTCTGGGCAGCAACTTCCTTGACTTGCCTGGGGAGCGGATCTGAGCTGCATTTACCAGGCCATGCCCAGGGGAAGTGATCAGTGTGGGACCGTGAAGCTGGATTTCCCCAGGAGCTCCCTCCAACCTTCTGGGATGATGATAAGACTTGGGATGAACCAAGGATCTTGAACCATGGGACAATGTGAAGTCTAGACCTAGTGGAGGAAGAGAAAGGCTACGGGAAGGGCAGGCTTCACGTTACTGAGCATCCGCTACCTGCCACACACTTTCACGTGGCCTTATTCTGTGTGTTTCTCACAGCACCCTTGAGAAATAGAGACTACGATCACATCTTTTACATAAAAGAAAACCACCATCCAGGGAGGCGAAGTCCCTTGCTCACAGACTGTCATGTGGGAAGCTCTCTGGATGCAATGATGTCCTCCAGTTGCATTACCAGGCAAGCTGTCCCAGAGTTCATGGAGCGGAAAGGCTCGAGAAGCAACTGAGGATGCTCGAATCACAGGTTTATAAAATCCATTCATAAAACACAGCAAGAAGCTGAGGGAAGGAGATGGGAGGGCCGTATGACCTGATTCCTGTGCTGTCAACATTCATCAGTTCTCTTCTTTCTCTGCTAGTCAACCTCACCCACTCAGGTGTGACCACGAGGACCAGAGCCGAGGTCTGGGCAAGAGTGCTCACAGCTGAAGGGCTTATGACACACACCGGCTCAACGGGACAGACATGGGACAAGTGTGCCTGATCATGGTGGCGTTGCCAAGAAGCAGCTGTCGCACTGCCATGGGTTCTACGTGTTTCTTGGGCAGAGGACGCATGGGACCAGAATGGGCACCAGGAATGGTGGTGAACAAAGGCCCCATGGTTCTGCATGTTTAGGTGTCTCTTGTATAAAGGCACATTGTGAATTGAACATTTAGTGCCCAGGAGCCTCATGCATATTAAGTATCTCTTGGCCCTTGTGTCTCTTCCTTCCCACATGTAACATACCTGTTCTCTGTAACTATCTATTCTGAACGTATCTAAAAACCATGTCTTGCCTGTGTTATACAAACCACATGCATACTCACGTTCTCTGATGTAGCTGAATGTTTCCTAAGGCCAGGGCACATTTCAGGGTCACATAGAGTGGAGAGAGGGACCAAAATAGCCTTGCTCTGTTTGACTCCCAGCCGAGATGTCTGCTGGGCAGCACTGCCTCTGTAGGCTCTAATGGGGGAAGGGAGCTCAGGGGAGCCTCTGGGGCTGGGCAGGCTACCAGAGGGTGTGGACATTTGGGTGGACCCTGACGGAGGACTTGGGTTTCCTTGGGAGGAAGTGTCAGGAAGGGCATCTGGGGCTGAGAGCACTGTGTGGGCAACAGAAGGAAGGAAACTGTGGCTGGCTGGGAAGGGATGGTACGGGGGACAGGGTGAGACTTCTGGCCCTGGGTGCTCAGATGAAGACCTGGGGTTGCCTAGTGGCTGGAAACACACACCAGCTGTGGCAACTTGACCTCTGGGATGTGAGTGTGCAGGCAGCTGCTGAGAACGGCTGTGGATTTGGAGATGTGGCTACAGGGAATGGGCAGTGGATTCATCTGGGAATTCTGCAGTCAGTGGCCCATAGAGGAAACAGCCTGGAAATGAGACTGCAGATACGTGCTAAAGAGGCTGGAGGAACAGTGACCCCAGTACAAGTTTATGGATCTTATCCACAATCTAAAGAAATGGAGGCCAAATGGCTTTTGAAATTCTAAAATACATGCAGAGGAAGAGTAATGCTTCATGGGAGAGCCAGACTCTTACTGGCAGTGACGCTACACGGTAGAGCTCTGTTCCTCCTGCCCATGTCTGTGGTTGGGGCTGGGGTAGTGCATAAACATGACGCTGATGAGGCCCAAGCATTGTTGGAAAAGAATTCAGCAGCTGCCACAAGAATCTTGAATCCGTGGGTGAAGACCTTGACTTTTTCTGGGACCAATGTGGTCAAGAACAAAGTAAAATAATGACAACAAACACTGTTCAGTTTTCCAAATATAAGCTATTTTAAATACTCTACATTTACCCTCAAAGACTGACATAACTTAGAATAACTTTTATAACAGCAAGGATGAGAACTAAAACTTAAATTGTAAATACAATTTTATTTATAAAAACAAAGTTAGCTTCAAATATTTTATGAACTAGTAGAATTTTAACCTTTTGTCACATTTCCCAGCAAAGTAAATAATTCTTTTTTTCACTTCTAGTCTGTCAGAAGAAAAGTCTTAGCTGAAATGGCCAGAAACTCTGAGGCACACTCCGGAGGCTGCTTCCGGGGCACCTCGGCACGGCCGCTTTTCCATCCCGGCCCTCACTTGATGCGGTCCAGCAGGGTTGAAATTGTTTGAAATGCTTGTTCCCAGTGCGGTAAAGAAATAGCACTTGAATGTAAATTTAATTTCCTCAGCAAGGCCATTTTTTTTTTTTAATTTCTGCAGAAAGTGTACACTCGCCAGCAGTTTTGCCACAACAGTATACTGAGCAAAGGAGACAGGGTCATTTATAACCTGACGCATCCACCCTACTGCTGTGTCCAGTTTCCAGTGGCTGGAACGGGACCTCACATTCTGTATTTGTCCCGATTGGCTAGCAACTTAGAACTTTTTTAAAGAGGAAAAGGCAGAGGAGAACAAAGGAAGGAGGAAGTAACTTGTGGAATGCTGAAAAAAGTAAAAACACCTTCGAATAAAGAAGAGGAACAGGCAATGACCTAAAGCTTGCTTGGACTAGTATAAGCATGCCAGGGCAAATATTTAGGCTAAATTGTGGGAGCTAAGAACATAAAGTACATTGATTTCTTTATTAGGGCTAGCAGATGTTTAAGAATGTTAGCACGGGTCTTTGAATAAATTTTGCTTCTAAGAGAAGTTACTATTTATTTCTAATGAGATGGGAAGGAAAGTCTTTGAAGAGGAAACTCTACTTTTTACAGAAGTAGGAACTTAGACTTACAGTTTGCACATTGACAAACTTGTTTTCCTTCCGTACACGAGGGGTTTATGATCCTCTGTTGCAACTGATTTGTCTTATGTAACTTCAAGAGTTACTCGTCAACCTACTTACTATTCTGGACTTTTCGGGAAATGGCAATTTGCCTTCCTATTTAGTGGGAGGGATACTGAGACTGCACTTTTTCTTACCCCAAGAAGTGCACAGTGTCATTGCAATGTCAACATCAGGGAGATCTCAGCCAGTGTGAAATAATTAGATCGTCCACTCAAAATTCTTAGTTACATCTTTTTAATATTTTCTTCACACTTCTTAAAAGCAGCTTAACAAGAATTGCATTAGTCAGGGTTTTCCAGAGAAACAGAAAAGAGAGGAGGAGATGTCCAGAATTGTCTCGTGTGATTACAGAGGCTAGAATCCAAGGAAGAGTGGCTTGAGTCCAGGGGCAGAATTCCCTCTTCCCCTGGGAGGTCAGTATTTCTTCCTTTAAGGCCTTCAACTGATTGGATGAGACCCACCCACATTATGGAGCATAATCTGCTTTACTAAAAGTATACTGGCTTAAATGCTAATTTCATCTGAAAAATACCACAGAATAATGTTGACCAAGTACTGGGAGAGGCCTTTTCCTTCGTCTTTTGGTAAATTGCAATCCCTGGGTATATTCACATTTGAAACTCAAATGTGGGCATTGGCTACTGCAGGCCTTTCCCGGCTCAATGGAGTGCAGACAGGGGAGGCACAGGAGTGACTCCACTGTGTGAAGAGAAGACTGATGAGGGCCCATGTGGCACCTCAGGTAGGGTCTGCACTGTCTGGACTATGGTCAGGCCCCTGCCTGAGCCAGCCCTGCTCTCCAGTGTCCCCAAGGAATCCCTGAAACTAGCATCTCATGGAGGAGATAGACGATGCAGGAGGTCCCCTGTGCCCAGAACAAATGGTACAACAAGGCCCCTCTGTTCCCCAAACTGGTCTCAGCAAACTTTCCCCACAGCTTGGATCTGGGCAGGTCACAGGGCCCAAACCTCATGACCAGCAGTGCTGGACCAGGGGGCTAGAAGGGCAGGTGGAGCTCTCTGATGACATTGTGGAGAGGAGGGGTGCCAGGCAAGGGGTGTCCAGGCAGGGGGTGTCCAGGATACTGTCCTGAGAGCCTCTCCAGGGACAGATGCCCTTAGGGGCAGAGAAAAAGGCAACCGGGGAGACCAGAGGAGTCTGATGCAGATAAGGAGGGGCTCTGTCCAGTGATGTTTCTCCACAATGAGCTCTCCCGAGGACAAGCAGCCTGCTTTATAGGCGAACCCCATTGCACAGTGAGAAGACGAAGACTTCGGAACTCAGTTCCCTAGAACCTCTTCTCTCCCTGCATAGTCCAGCCCTATTGGTCCTTTCTGGTCTTGAAGGTCTTTAATGGAAACAAACCGCAAGGCCAAGGCCAGACCTGCCTGCCCTTCATGCCCATCTCCACGCAGCAGTTGAGTGTGGACTCTGCCTCCCCTGTCCCCCGAACAGTGAGTCCCCACCAGCCCCTCCAGGGACACAGTGCCAGCTCTGCAGCCCTCCCATCCCTCTGTCCATTCTTCTGCAGGCAGGATGGGCACTGTGGCTGGAGGAAGGCTCCTGATCCACTGCTTTGGGGGAATCTGATTTAGCACTCTACAGGGAACCCAACAGAGATCCAAAGCTGAGTACTGATTCAGAGAAAGAACATTTCTGCTAAGCTTAGGGCCTCAGGGAGGACAGATAATTATCTAAAGTTGACAGAACAATCAATTTTCTGGGTCTGAAGTTTACAAACAAAATCCCTCTCCTTTGAAGGCAGATTAGCCATGGAAACACCTTCTACATTGCCTGCCTAAATGGTTTGTCTCTGCAATCAATCTCTCTATTCTTTAAAACAGAATTAGGATAATTTGCGTAATTGTTTCTTGTCTCAGAGAAATCTTACAGGGAGGCTGTCTCCAGATAACCAGCAGCCTGGGCTCCAGGCCGACACCAAACCCACAGGCAGCCTTGTGGTAAGGCTCCAGGCTCTAGAGCCAAAGGATCTAGGTCAGAGGCTCCACCTGGGGCTCCTGCGCCCTCCCTGCCAGGGCGGCAGAGGGAGCCACATCCCTGAAAGCCTCTGGCTTAGGGACCTCAGAATTCCCACCTCTGATAAGGTAATGAAATGAGCCAAAGTTGATAAAAATCTGTGAACAAACTGGCCTACAGTGGCTAAAACCAGAGGGAGAAAAATAATGTGATAAACCCCCAAACCAGCCATCCTGGGAAGTTTCAAGGGGCTGCTGTGCTCCTGACTCCTCCCCCGCCTCCTGGAGCTGCCCAGGTGAGCAGACAGAGTTTTGAGAGCTGGCGCTGAGGCTCTGTGCCTGGAGACAGACACTGGGCAGGGACCCTCAACTTTCCTGTCCGTTTTGCGCAGTGAGTCAGAAACAGATGCTGGGGAGCAGCAAGCAAGCAGAGGGCTGCCTGTCTCAGAGGCAGGAGCATCCACCTCAGAGGATGCCAGGTGGGGAGATCCTGGACTGTGCCACCCCCAGGGAGGGCACAGGCACAGCAGGCCTCTCAGCAGGAGCTCGGGGGTGGAGTAGAGACCAGGGATTCCATAAGACTCCCCACTGCTCCCCATTCCCTAAGGTGCAGCAAAACGTCTCCGCTTCTATGAGGACAGTCCAGACGTCCCCAGCTTCCCCTAGAGCAGACAGAAGGCCTGAGGCCCTGGGAAACCCACGTGCCCACTGGAAGTGGGGAGTAAAAAGACAGAAGGGACCCGTCTGGAAACAAAACCAGTCAAGAACCAGACTCACCACTGCTTCAGAAAATATGGGGAAATGTGAGCGTGAATTTCATAAAGCACAGTCAGCAAGCCACGAGGAGGGCCAGCGTCTGATGGACAGGGAGACTGCAGACCCCAGGAAGCAGCAGGAGAACAAGGATTCCCTCTATGATTTCCCACGGCTGATGCTCCCGACCTGGTTTCCCTTCACTGGTGCTCCTCCTGTGTTCCACACTGGATACTATCCTGCCAATCCACGCCCCTTGCTGGCCTTCAGTGAGGTGGAACTCACCACACTCTGGCCTCTTTCTCCACTTCTCTTGCTACTGTCCATTTGCAAAGATCTCAGATGGCTGCACCATGTGTTCTGACCAGAGAAAGACTGCAACCACCTTTGCAAAGCTTATGACAGCGAGGGAGGTCACGCATGACTGACTCCACCTTACCTCTAGCCTCACAGGCAGGCTGTCCTGCTCATGCTTGGGCACAGGCTAAACTAATCCGGGGAGAAATTTAGTTATAAAACAATACTAGTCCCTCTCTAAAACTAAAGCCCTCCTTCCTTGAGGACCAAAAACGAATGAAAGGCCACGTGATTAGGATTTCGGGAGGAGCCCGAACTCTGCTAAAATGTAGACATAGTTTCCGTAATTCCTTATTGTTCAGAAGTCATATGGCTAGAAGTCACACAATTTGTGACTTCTCCAATTGCTTCTGTAGATAACAACACTATTGTAGAGCCTGAGTTTGGTTTTTTCAGCTGTTTTCCAGATTTTTGCATTCTGCCAACCGACTGACCCTACCCAGACCCATGGCTCATGACTCAACTGGTCCTATGCACTCCCACCTCCCCACCCAGAGGCAGACTCCGTGACAGGATCGTTTTCTACACCCTATGACTGCATCCCTAAACAATCAACCGCACCCACTCCCTGGTCCTCTGCCCACCAAACAATCCTTGAAAAACCCAAACCTCCCGTTCTTCTGGGAGACTGATTTGAGTAGCAGCTCCTTCTCCCACGTGGCTAGCTGCATCAATTAAACTGTTTCTTTAGTGCAGTACCACAGTCTCGGTGAATTGGTTTTGTCTGTACAGTGGGTGGGAAGAACCCATTGGGCAACTGCAAGACAGTTCAGCGTGCTTGCTCATCGTACTGGAAATAAAACCTATTTGTAGGGTCAAAGGGGCAAAGTTGTCCCATGTTATTCCCTTTTGGGGAGTTATCTGTTGGGTGTTTCTAGCCTGCTGCAAGCTAGGATAAAGCAGAGGTCCTCGTGCCTCTCCTCCAGGACCCCATACAAACACCTTGTCCTCCATGAAGAACCCGGGACCTGCAGCCCTCCTCTCCTGTGACCTTCCCAGTCACTTCATCCTCATCTCGGGGTGCTGCCAGCTGAATGTGCTGTGCTCACTGGCTGCACCACTACCCCCGTGCACACACACTCCTGCAGATGAGAGCTGCCAAGGCAGAGAGTGAACTTTTCTGATTTGACATTCCCTGTACATTTGTGCCTTGACACGCCACACAAATACAGTGTGCAGACACCAGTAAAAACAGAGAAAAGGTGGGGACATAAAGGCCCAGACGTAAGAGTGGGCAAGGGTGCCCTCTGGTTCATTTCACTCTGCAGTCGACTCCCAAGGTGAACCTAGTGAATTCTGCCTCAGAAGCCCTGGTTTCCTTGTCTCTGACACTGAATCCACAGTAGCCATGATCCACGTTTATTGGATCACCAGTATTTTGAGGAATGTTAGTATCATTCTACAAAAAATATTTTAAAAATTGATTTCTATAATCAGGAAATTTCAGGAAACCCTGAGTAAAAATGATTGATTATTGCAAAACTTCTCTGAAGCTTTCACAAACAAATGTGTGCTCATCTCCAAGGCGAAAGTAAAGTAGGGAACCTGCCCCAAATTTATGAGTCAGTTCAGTGCTTTTCTGTGATCAAATCGGTGTTCTGTCAAGTGCAATGTGGAAAAGGTAATACTGAGGGTCATTTAACTGGCATGTCCAGCGCAGTGCGGAAAAGGGAACATTCCAGGGTCATCTACTCGGCAGCCTCCAAAGGCTGGCACAGTGTATCTTACTTCTCTTCTGCGTTTCTAGCGCCTTCATTAGACCTGAGACGTGGAAATGGCCTAGGAGATCTTATTAACAGTGACGTAGGAATAGGAGTAATTAATTATGTTACAGTAATAGTTGGGTTTTGCATGTTCTAAGCTGGGCTCAGGAAAAGGCCAATAGAAAGGGGCAAATATGGAGTATTTCCTGGTCTTAAGACGCGGGCAGCATGGAGCAGCCAGCTGAGAGTCAAAGGTGGCCAGGGAGTATTTGCCCCCGGATGCCTGCACTGGGAATGGAGAGGTCAGTGTCCTGTCCATCGCATGCCCAGGCATAAGGAAATGGGGCATAAAGCTGGTCATCCCCACCAAAACCAGGGGAGACTTAATGGTCCTGAGGCTAAGTTTTGAGAAGTTCAGCAAATGGCAGACGTGGTAGGATTTCCCCCACAGGCTTCACCTGGATGCACTCCTGTATCCCTGAGGGCATTCCATAGTAAACTGTTGTAAAGGAGCAGACAGGGAGATGCAGAGCCTAGTGTGGTGGGATGGGTGATGGGGCGAGGTGTCCCCAACCTGAACAAGGAAGGCCAAACTGATTCCCCAGGTCTGCCGTGCTCGGGAGATGCGGCCCCTCAGCCCCTTGCTTGAACTCCTTTTGATGAGGTCAGCTGCCTCCCAAGAACAGGCTTTGGCAGCCTGAAAAAGTGCCCAGCACAGCCCTCAGACCACCCTCAGCCTTTCCCCAGACACTGGGCTGCAGTAGCTGAGATAAATGCAGGAGACCGTTCATTAAACCTACAAGGCGAACTGTCTGACCCGGCTGCAAGAAGGTGATTTCACAGGGTGCTGTTTTGGGGAGGTAAGGGACTTACCTGAGCTGCCAGTGGGAAAAAAATGCGTCTCACTGAAGTTGAAATGGCACAATCAGAAGCACTGAGGCCCAGTGCTGGCCCGCCCATGCCATGGACGACATAAGGACTGTTGGAGAAGAGGAGACGTGAACAGTGTGCAGCTTCCCGCCCATGCCATGGACAACACAAGGACTGTTGGAGAAGAGGAGGAAATGTGAATAGTATGCAGCTTCCCGCACACACTGCACCCAGGACTGTTGGAGAAGAGGAGGAGATGTGAACAGTATGCAGCTTCCCGCACACACTGCACCCAGGACTGTTGGAGAAGAGGAGGAAATGTGAACAGTATGCAGCTTCCCGCCCATGCCATGGACGACATAAGGACTTTTGGAGAAGAGGAGGAAACGTGAATAGTATGCAGCTTCCCGCACACACTGCACCCAGGACTGTTGGAGAAGAGGAGGAGATGTGAACAGTATGCAGCTTCCCGCGCTGCCACGCACACTGCACGCGTTGATTGGGTCCCTCGGTACTCAGGCAGCCTCCAAGGCAGGCTTTGCCATTCCTGTTCCCATTTCACAGTTGAAGAAGTGAGGTTCAGAGCTGTGAAGTAAAGGGGCTCGGGTTCAAGCTGGGCTGCCAAATGCTGAGGTGCAGCCCCTGAGGACTTCATAAAAGTCACCCTCTGTGGGAAGAGCTGCCACGGGGCATCATCTGTAGCATCTGGAAGGAACGCCAGTAATCCCACCGTCCCACAGTCATTTCCCCGAGATCTTAGGTCTCAAATGCCTTTGAAAATTCATTTTACATGGCTTTCTCCTCTGTTATATTTCGATCCCCAGGGCATGGTGTATGTGCTAGTTGCCATTTCTAGCCTCAGCCTACTTTATGTAGGCACTGAGCAAATGCTGAATGAATCATTACACATGTTCACTGAGCTTTTTTTGAGAACTCTGACTGGTTGAAGTATTTACTACTCACTCTGGGAACTTGAAACAAAAAGCGACTAAATGACAGAGGCTGGGCCTGAGAGCACAGGTTGCATCGTGCTGGGGGAGGTCCCCTGTGCAGGGCACCATCCCTCACCCACTCACCCGCTCACTCACTCATTCTTCCTTTCACTGGACTCTGTCAACTGGGGGTTCCCACGTGCCACGCCCCGTGCAAGGTGCTGGGTACACAGCAGTGAATGCTGACAATGGTCATGATAATAGGGCTTACCATGTGCGATGCTCTAAGACTAACACACTTCACATCTAGGCACTCACAATAGTGCTTACCACGTGCAATGCTCTAAGGCTAACACACTTCACATCTAGGCACTCTCAAACACACAGCTGTGCTCATTCAATCCCCTTCACAGCCCCAAAGGCAGGCACCACGTTACCCATCTGACTGATGGCAGCAACTTGCTCACACTAACGAATGCCTAACGAGCTGGGGTTTCCTTCCTCGCAGGGCTCACACTCCTACAGGGAAAAGAAACAAAAAGCATGAGAAATAAAAACTGGAAATGAAGAAAATAAAACCAGGTGGGAGGACAGGCAATTGCAGAAGGGGAGGTGGGGGGTGACAGGCAAACCAGGAACTGAGTCATGGAAATGACCCTGTAGTCCTGCGGGGCAGTGCACCTGAGCCCAGGCTGGAGGGCAAGGAGCTGGGTGTATCAAGGCAGTGAGTGGTCAGGCCCACAGACGTGAGAAGCAGGGATGGGAGAACTTGAGACAGGAGACCAGCAAGGGAAAGACAGGCCCACACAGGCAAGGCCCACACAGGAAGGCCCACATGTGGCTGGTGTCTCTGCCATGAACTACCTTCTGCCAGGCTTCCTTGACCACCCCACAAGCCTCCCTGAGGCCAGGGCCACATCCAGAAACTTCACAGAGAGCTACACCCTTCACACTGCTGTTTTAACTTAACAAGCTGTAGTTTGAAAGAGAACTCAGCAAAGCACTCGTGTAATTTCATTAACTTTCTCTCATCTTCTCAGCTGGGCATCTGCAGTTAATAATGTGCATTTGAGGAAAGAAAAATAAAAGGCATCAAAGGCCAGGTTAGAGACAGGGCAGGGACGGGAGCTCTAGGCCAGTGGGTTGTGTTTTTCTGACGTGTGCTCCAGCTGCTGTCAGCTGACTCTAGCCAGTCCCCAGGCCCCGACTCAGGTGCCACCTGGTTGAGGACCTCCAGGGAGTCCTGCTGTGAACGAAAACCCATTGTGATAGGGGCATGCATCCCCTTTGCCACCCCCTCCTCACACACCTGCTTTGGGTTGGGGGTGTGTCTCCTGCTGAACCACAGCACTGCCCCATTTTGGGTAGGACAAGTTCATTTCCATCTTGGAAGAATAGTCCACTCACCAAGGTGTTTGGCAGCTACATATAAACAGAACTTTCAATGAAAGGTTGGAATGCTCATCCTGTCCCACTCCATGTGTGATAGCGTCTGGAACCCTTTCCAGCAGGTCTATTCAACATCAATACAGCAATCTGGGCACACGTCTCGGCCCTGCCCTCACCCGGGGCTGTGGGCACAACTGGGATGCTCAGAGGTGGGCAGGCAAGTGTCATCTCACAGGTGCAGATGTCAAGGCTCTGAGGACACTGTGACCACCCAGCCCACACACGATGGCGGAGGGAAGATCCTGGCCATTTGTGGCCCACCCAGTTTTCCACCGCTCTCTATTTTCCCTACATCCCCACTTCCTCTGCTCCTCTGCAGAGCATGGAGCCCCTTCCACATGTACAAGAGGTGCTGAGTGGGACCGTGGCTGAGAGAAGGCTGCCAGGCTGTGCCCTGTGGTGCGGTGGGCCTGGAGTGTGGGGAGGACTGCAGCGTCTGCAGGTAGGGCACCTGCCATGAGCGGGTCCTCTCCCATCTGACCCTCCTGCCCCCACATCTAGTTCTTCTCTTGCTGCCAGGTTCTACTCATTGGTAAGGTCTGCCTCTTGCTGGAAGCCCTTCCTCCACTCCTGTCGTCCTCAGAAGGGTGACCCTAGAACTCCTGAGGGTGGCATTCAAGAACTTCCCAGCACCACAGATGCTCAAACTGTTTCTTCTCAGGGTCAAAACCACAATGCTGAAATATCATCTCTTCTGAAACTATTCCAATCAATAGAAAAAGAGGGAATCCTCCCTAACTCATTATATGAGGCCAGCATCATTCTGATACCAAAGCCGGGCAGAGACACAACCAAAAAAGAGAATTTTAGACCAATATCCTTGATGAACATTGATGCAAAAATCCTCAATAAAATACTGGCAAAACGAATCCAGCAGCACATCAAAAAGCTTATCCACCATGATCAAGTGGGCTTCATCCCTGGGATGCAAGGCTGGTTCAATATACGCAAATCAATAAATGTAATCCAGCATATAAACAGAGCCAAAGACAAAAACCACATGATTATCTCAATAGATGCAGAAAAGGCCTTTGACAAAATTCAACAACCCTTCATGCTAAAAACTCTCAATAAATTAGGTATTGATGGGACGTATTTCAAAATAATAAGAGCTATCTATGACAAACCCACAGCCAATATCATACTGAATGGGCAAAAACTGGAAGCATTCCCTTTGAAAACTGGCACAAGACAGGGATGCCCTCTCTCACCACTCCTATTCAACATAGTGTTGGAAGTTCTGGCCAGGGCAATTAGGCAGGAGAAGGAAATAAAGGGTATTCAATTAGGAAAAGAGGAAGTCAAATTGTCCCTGTTTGCAGATGACATGATTGTATATCTAGAAAACCCCATTGTCTCAGCTCAAAATCTCCTTAAGCTGATAAGCAACTTCAGCAAAGTCTCAGGATACAAAATCAATGTGCAAAAATCACAAGCATTCCTATACACCAACAACAGACAAACAGAGAGCCAAATCATGAGTGAACTCCCATTCACAATTGCTTCAAAGAGAATAAAATACCTAGGAATCCAACTTACAAGGGATGTGAAGGACCTCTTCAAGGAGAACTACAAACCACTGCTCAAGGAAATAAAAGAGGATACAAACAAATGGAAGAACATTCCATGCTCATGGGTAGGAAGAATCAATATCATGAAAATGGCCATACTGCCCAAGGTAATTTATAGATTCAATGCCATCCCCATCAAGCTACCAATGACTTTCTTCACACAATTGGAAAAAACTACTTTAAAGTTCATATGGAACCAAAAAAGAGCCTGCATCGCCACGTCAATCCTAAGCCAAAAGAACAAAGCTGGAGGCATCACACTACCTGACTTCAAACTATACTACAAGGCTACAGTAACCAAAACAGCATGGTACTGGTACCAAAACAGAGATATAGATCAATGGAACAGAACAGAGCCCTCAGAAATAACGCTGCATATCTACAACTATCTGATCTTTGACAAACCTGAGAAAAACAAGCAATGGGGAAAGGATTCCCTGTTTAACAAATGGTGCTGGGAAAACTGGCTAGCCATATGTAGAAAGCTGAAACTGGATCCCTTCCTTACACCTTATACAAAAATCAATTCAAGATGGATTAAAGACTTAAACGTTAGACCTAAAACCATAAAAACCCTAGAAGAAAACCTAGGCATTACCGTTCAGGACATAGGCATGGGCAAGGACTTCATGTCTAAAACCCCAAAAGCAATGGCAACAAAAGCCAAAATTGACCAATGGGATCTAATTAAACTAAAGAGCTTCTGCACAGCAAAAGAAACTACCATCAGAGTGAACAGGCAACCTACAACATGGGAGAAAATTTTTGCAACCTACTCATCTGTCAAAGGGCTAATATCCAGAATCTACAATGAACTCAAACAAATTTACAAGAAAAAAACAAACAACCGCATCAAAAAGTGGGCAAAGGATATGAACAGACACTTCTCAAAAGAAGACATTTATGCAGCCAAAAAACACATGAAAAAATGCTCACCATCACTGGCCATCAGAGAAATGCAAATCAAAACCACAATGAGATACCATCTCACACCAGTTAGAATGGCGATCATTAAAAAGTCAGGAAACAACAGGTGCTGGAGAGGATGTGGAGAAATAGGAACACTTTTACACTGTTGGTGGGACTGTAAACTAGTTCAACCATTGTGGAAGTCAGTGTGGCGATTCCTCAGGGATCTAGAACTAGAAATACCATTTGACCCAGCCATCCCATTACTGGGTATATACCCAAAGGACTATAAATCATGCTGCTATAAAGACACATGCACACGTATGTTTACTGCAGCACTATTCACAATAGCAAAGACTTGGAACCAACCCAAATGTCCAACAATGATAGACTGGATTAAGAAAATGTGGCACATATACACCATGGAATACTATGCAGCCATAAAAAATGATGAGTTCATGTCCTTTGTAGGGACATGGATGAAATTGGAAATCATCATTCTCAGTAAACTATCGCAAGAACAAAAAACCAAACACCTCATGTTCTCACTCATAGGTGGGAATTGAACAATGAAAACACATAGAAACAGGAAGGGGAACATCACACCCTGGGGACTGTTGTGGGGTGGGGGGAGGGGGGAAGGATAGCACTGGGAGACATACCTAATGCTAAATGACGAGTTAATGGGTGCAGCACACCAGCATGGCACATGTATACGTATGTAACAAACCTGCACAATGTGCACATGTACCCTAAAACTTAAAGTATAATAATTAAAAAAAAAATTAAAAAAAAAAAAAGAAATATCATCTCACCCCAGTTGTGATGGCGTTCATCAAAAAGACAAAAAATAACCAAGGGAACTCTTGACACTGTTGGTGGGAATGTAAACCAGTACAGCTACTGTGGAAAGCAGTGTGGAGGTTCCTCACAGAACTACAAACAGAACTGAGGTAGGAGGTGGGACTCAACTCCAGAGGTGGGGCTCGAACACCGGACCAGATTGAGGACTAGCTAAAACAGGGCTGGGGCGGAAGCAGCTTTCAATCAGACACACCCACCAGTGCCATGGAAGTTTATCGTTGCCATGACGACACCGGGAGTTACCGCTCCTTTCCATGGCAATGACTCAATGACCCAAAAGTTACTATGCCTTCCTTAGAAATTTCTGCATAAACCGTCTTTAATCCGCGTGAAATTAAAAGTGGATTAAACATGACTGCAAAACTGCCCCGAGCTGCTCTTCTCTTCTTACAGGGCAGAGAGGGTAGCCCTGCTCTGCAGGAACCGTCTCAGAGCTGTAACATTTCTTCTTTATTAATAAAGCTGTTTTTGGCCGGGCACAGTGGCTCACGCCTGTCATCCCAGCACTTTGGGAGGCTGAGGTGGGCGGATCACGAGGTGGGAAATTCAAAACCAGCCTGGCCAAAATGTTGAAACCCCGTCTCTACTAAAAATACAAAAATTAGGTGGGCGTCGTGGTGCGTGCCTGTAATCCCAGCTACTTGGGAGGCTGAGGCAGGAGAATCTCTTCAACCCAGGAGGCGGAGGTTATAATGAGCCGAGATCGCTCCACTGCACTCCAGCCTGGGTGACAGAGCAAGATTCCGTCTCTAAATAAATAAAGCTGTTTTCTTCTTCCTTTGGCTTGCCCTTGAATTCTTTCCTGGGCAAAGGCAAGAACCCTTGCAGACTAAACTCCACCTTGGGGCTCACCTGCCCCACATCAGAACTACCATAAGATCCAGCAATCCCACTCCTGGACATTTATCCAAAGGAAAGGAATCGGTATATCAAACCAATATCTGCAACCCCATGTTTATTGACAATAGTCAAGACGTGGAATCAACCTAGGTGTCCAACAGCAGATGACTGGATAAAAAACGTGGTATATACACACAGTGGAATACTAGTCATCTGTAAAAAAAAATGAAGTCCTGTCATTCATGGCAAAACGGATGGAACTGGAGGACATTATGGTAAGTGAAATAAGCCAGGAACAGAAAGTTAAATACTGAATGTTCTCACTGACATGTGGAAACTTTAAAAAATGTTGCTCTCATAGAAGTAAAAAGTAGAACAGAGGATATTAGAGGCTGGGAAGGGGAGGGAGAGGGGACGGATAGGGAGAGATTTTTTAAAGGATATGGAATTACAGCTGGATGGGAAAAATAAGTCCTATGGTTCTTTGGCACTGTAGGGTGACTATAGTTAACTATAATTCATAGTTTCAGATAGCTAGGAGGAGAAATTATCGTGTTTGAGACGATGGATGTGTTCGCCACCCTGATCTAATCCTTGATTCATTCTATGTACTGCAGCATCCCTGTGAACCCCACGAATATGTGCCATATTGTGTCAATTAAAAAAATAATAAGAAGTAATTGAGAACCCTAATAAGTATGGTTTATCTATTAACATTTACCATGTTAAAGATGAAAATGGAGAACAATTTAAAATCTTAAGAGTATTAGTCTCTAGAGGGACAGGACTAATAGGATAGAAGTGTATATGAAAGGGAGTTTATTAAGTAGTATTGACTCACACGATCACAGGGTGAAGTCCCACAGTAGGCTGCAAGCCGAGGAACAAGGAAGCCAGTCTGAGTCCCAAAACCTCAAAAGTAGGGAAGCCGACAGTGCAGCCTTCAGTCTGGGGCCAAAGGCCCGAGAGCCCCTGGCAAACCACTGGTGTAAATCCAAGAGTCCAAAACTGAAGAACTTGGAGTCCGGTATTCAAGGGCAGGAGGCATCCAGCGTGGGAGAAAGATGAAGGCCGGAAGACTCAGCCAGTCTCGTCCTTCCGCATTTCTCTGCCTGCTTTTATCCCAGCCACACTGGCAACTGATGAGATGATGCCCACCCAGATTGAGGGTGGGTCTGCCTCTCCCAGGTCCACTGACTCAAATGTGAATCTCCCTTGGCAACACTCTCACGGACGCACCCAGGAACAATACTCTGCATCTTTCAATCCAATCAAGTTGACAATAGTAACCATCACATTAAGTAACCAATTAGTGAAAACTCATAATGAATCCATTATGCTAATGAACATCAAGGATTATGTTATGTTCATAACATAACATGTTACGAAAATAACTATATTTTCTTTAGAAACTGGTGACAGGAGTAGCATTGTTTAGATGTGTGAATGCTCCTGCTGCCTGGCTCCTGGGAAACAAGTTTCCCATGTGGAATTCTGTATTCAGTCTGCAGTGACATCACACGTCAGTTGCCTCTGCACACTTGTGAGAGAACGGGAGTGGAAAAGGCACTCAACACTTCAGCCATGAGAGGAAACCTGTTTGAACTAAGAGTCCCCTAAGAGGGGAGCCAGCACCACTTAAAAACCTTTAAGTACTCTCAATAGAAATCTTTAGTTCACAAGATGTTTTACAAATACCTTATCCTAGTCTCCATATCATTTGTGGAAGGGAAAGTTTAGATTTTATTATTATTTTTTAAAAAATTATTATAGATATATTTATTATTAAATTTTAGTCAATTTTATTAATCTTTTGATCATGTGATTTTTCTATGTATTTTGCGAAATCCACAAAATGTATTCAAAATATATTTTCTTATATTTTCATCTAAAGAGTCTTGCTATATTTATAAAGTTTCTCAGTCCACCTGAAAATAACCTTTGTGTATGTCTTGAGGTATAGATCTAAAGGTATCTTTTTTCAAAATGAAGAGCCAATTGCCCAAACGATTGGGCACTTTATTTGTTTTCTAATAGACTAAGTTTCAACACAGAAGAGGGTCTTCTTTGGTGCTCTGTACTCTTTTCCTTTGGTCTATTTTTCTCTTCTACCAAGATATCATGTGGCTGTAATTGCAATGGATTTATATGGTGTGCTTATATCTGGTGTAATGTATCCTCGACTTACTTTTTCTCCTTTAAAAGTATCTTGGTTATTATTGTCCTGTATTGTTTTTGGAGTCAGCCAGTCAAGTTTTAAAAAACACGTAAACAGATGCAGGTGAACGTGTCCCCATGGGTGTGTGCTTGGTGGGAACTGCATCAAATTCATCACCTCACTTGGGGAGACTTCATCGCTTTACCATGCAGGTCTCACCACACCTCCCCATTTATAGACATCTTTAAAAATATTCTTCACTGATATCTTTATTTTTTCATAAAGTTATTACCCTTGTCTTAGTTGATGTATTCCTAGGTAACTGATAACTTTTGTTGATGTCAAATGAAATTGCTTTTTATAATTATGAATTGGGTACTGCTGATAGTTTTGTTTACTAGTCTTGTGTCCAGTTGAACTCTCTTATTTGTTATGACCTTTTAAAATGTAGATTTTTATAGGGTCAATAAAGAATGATGGTTTCCTTTTATTCCTGACCCATTGTTCCACATTTAGTTCATTTTCTTGCATTATTGCACAAGCCGGTAACTCTACCCGAGGTTGCATAGAAAGGGTACATAGAAAGGGCATATCTTTGCCTTGCTCCTACCTCCCAAAGGCAGTTTCTGAAGCTTCACTGTCACATGTGGTGGCTGCTTTTTCTAGTCTATGATTTAGATGCTGCTTTTGCATCAACTTAGCTGTGGATTTTTTTTTTAATGAAGTTTCACTCTGTTCCCCAGCCTGGAGTGCAGTTGTGCAATCTTAGCTCCTGCAGGCCTAAGTGCTCTCTATAAACCCCAAGTGCAGCAGGCGGGAGGAGACTCTGGCTATGCACAAAGTTTGCTGGTGGGAGGACAGAGCCAGGAACTCTGTGTGTGTCAGTAAAATGTTGGGGTGACAGTCACCTGGGGGGAAAGCCATCACAGAGGCACTGACATGAGCTGTGTGCATTGGGCAGTCTCTCCACCTCCAAGGGCCTCAGTGTCCTCTCAGGTGTGAGGGTCAGTGGTCCCCGTGGCCTACTGCCACATTCATTGAAATGCTACATGTCCAGAATATGCTATTTACTGGGGGGATAAAGGGAAAGAAATATACTTTGCGCATATTTCATACGGAAGACAATAGTGATAATGCTTCAATTAGTGCATTGGAGATGCCAGGTTGATTGTAAATGAAATTGTGCTGAGATCTCAGCTCTGCACCATAATTGCACTAAGTTTTTTGAATAGAAAACACTTTATCAAAGTTGTGACTTAGTGAGGAGAGATTGCTAATGTTTTTTGCAATGGAGTCTGTTGCTTTATCACATCAAAGATTTTGTTACAAATGCATGCCAGGTGACCTATGAAGTCATAAGCCTGCAGTAACTCACCTGGCTGGTGTAGAGGAGTGTAATTCTAACACGGCCATCCCTGTGGTAAGGGGAAAGGAAAACACTGAAAGGTTGCTTCTCTGTGAACAGAGTGGCTGTTTCCAGGTTTCTGACCCCAAGGACGTGGGTTCCAGTGGACACAGTGAGCCAGGCTGTGGGGTTACACAGCATGTACCATGATGATGGGGGTTCCTTCCTCTTAGGACTCAACACGCCCAGGGCCCTCTGGAAGCACACTCTGGAAGCTGTCCTTCTGCTCTGTTGAGGGGTAAAGAGTTGGTGAATCACCCCCAACCCCTCTAGTCCTTACTCAGTTTCCATCTAACACTACAGATGGGGCCTCATTATACAGATGCAGAAACAGAGACCCTGAGAGAGGTCTGGCCAGGCTGAGGCCCACAGTGAGTTCGTGATAAGGTAGGACCAGAGCCTGGGTCTCAGGCTCACGGTGCTCTCTGTGACCCCACTAGGTCAATCCTCTGTAACCTGCTTTAAGGGAAACAGGGTGGGGCCACACTCCCCGCAGCTCAGTCTGACCCTGTGGATCTGTGGCCTGAGAGTAGGACACATGCACCAGAATAGGTGATTCGGAGCCTGTGGTCCACTCTCAGCCTGTGTCCCCCACCCCACAGGCAGGGCCACTGCTTCCAGATTAAAGGAAAGGTGAGTTACTTAGCGCTCATTAACTCACGAAGTCAGAGGTAATCAAGACCAGATTGAACTTCCGTCCAATCGACTTAGGCACTCTCATGTTTAAAAATCCATATGGGGAAAATAATGCAAGAACGTAATTTTTTAAAAAGAATGTGGAAAAGTGGTGTAAAACTGTTAATTGTTCTTAATGTGAGCTGCAACTTTGGCCTCACTGTGGCTGCTCCGTGACGGATACTGAATGGCGGTGGGGCTCCTTGGAGCTTGCTGAGGGTTCCCGCCTGTATCCACTTTCCCTCCAGTCACATTATTTTAAGAAGGGAAACTGCCCCCCATTCCCTGCCTCCCTGCTTCCTTTGTGGTCCTTGGGAAAAAGAAATTCCACGAAGAAACTAGTCTGTGCTGCTGGGGTAAGGACAGTGTTTTCCCTGGAGGAGGCCACGCTGGAGGGACCACAGAGGCACTGCGGGCAGCTCACACCCTGCTCCAGTGTCCAGGTAATGGCCACAGGGTGAGCTTGGTTTTTCAAAATCTACTGAGCACTTTTCTGTAAGTACATGATATTTCAATGAAGCATTATGAAATTATATTATCAGAAGCCAAATTTGGTTTGTTTCCATTGGGTTTTCAAGGTCTATTTTATTCCTATCCTTTCCTTTTTCTTTACATTTTCTCCTCTTCTTTAACTAAAAAAACCTCTATAAGTTTGAAAGACTCTCAGGTCTTCAGGATAAAATGCGAATTGGTGCTTTAAGCTTTGTCCCTTCCTGCAGTGGGACTCACAGTCCCCTTTCAGAGACCTGCTTGGTCAAGGGTAGTTATGGGAGTTTAGCGTCAGCTTGGGCAGCCTTCCCTGCTTCATGAGCTGACCCACTAGGGGCAGGATCACATGAACACACGTCCTCATCTCTGACACCCTGAGACCTTAAGCAGCAAGTGCAAAGGGAGGACATCCTATGAGTCTCCCTCCTGTGGCCTCAGGTGGGAGGCCACAAGTATGCTCACAGCTCCCGCTCCTGGTGCCTGGCAGCTCAGACCGTAGCTACTTCTCTAGGATTTTTGCACCCAACTCACACTCTCTCCATCCAAGACTCAAACAGTGTCCCCCTGCCTTATGCCCGGTCACCCTGTTCTCTTCTGCGTCCAGCCTCAGTTGTTCCTCCTGACCCAGCCCCTGCTTCAGCCCAGGACCACCTGAAGCCTCCCCTCTGGGTTCCAGCACTTCCCTCCGTCATGATCTGCACTCCTGCTTTTTCTCGCATGATTTCCCCTCCTGCCACTCCTCACCATCTAAAACAGTGTTCACTTCTGTTTTGCTGTATTGTCTGGCTGTCCTGTATGTGTCTGAGCTCATGAGGGATATTGCATCCCTGTACCCAGGAGAGTGTCTGGCAGAGAGCAGGTGCTGCGCAAACAAGCAATACATGAGTAAGCAAGTGAGCCAGAGAGTACAGGCAGTACCCATATGCCACAGCTTCCCATGCGGCTCTACTAGGAATCACTCTGCTCCACGGCCAAGGCCTCCCCTCCCTGTGTCGGTGTCCCCGGCTCCATGGCCAAGGTGTTGCCTCCTACTGAACGATTCTGAGATGCCTGAACACCATGTGGTTAATCCCAGAGGAAAGTTTCACCGTTGGAATCCAGGCCCTGGCAGGAACTCAGAAGGGGGCCTTTGTCAGCTGCCCTCATCTCCCTTTGGTGAGAGAGCACATTAAAGGCCGAGAGTCCATCCATGAGAGCAGCGCCGGGCGACACACGTAACTGCTAAATGAATGAGTGAACAATGAACAAACTCTGGAGGCAGAGTCCTTAGGGGTTGGCCCGGTCTCCGAATTTCCCTGTGCCGTGAGTGCTGGCCCCCAAGAGGGTTCCGCTGGGCCTTCTCAGACCTCCTCAGGCTCAGCAGCGCCGGATCATGACATCACCACTCATTCCCAGCTCTCCCTGGGATAGTCTCTCAAATGATTAGTGCCAACAATCCTTGACTCCAGCTCTGTTTCTTGTGTAATTCAAAATAAGCACAAACCTTAAAGTATATCTGATTATTGTCCCCATTTTAACAGGAGGAAACAAGCACAGACAGGTTTAGTTACCTGTCCAGGAGCACACAGTGAGCATTGGCAGAGCCAACGTATTTTTCCCCAGTCTGACTCCAGAGCTGGGCCTCTACCCAGGGTGCCACACGCGGTGCAACGCGGTGGGGACAAGGGTCTCTTGTACAATGTGAGGATGGCTGGGGTGAGCCAGGCCCAACACACAGGCCACGTGGAGAGGCCCAATGCGAGGCCACAAGCTGGGGCATCTCCAAGGAAGATCAGCCCCAGACTCCATCCCTGTGCCTCCTGGTCTTCCCGGCCCTCCCCAGACACTCAAGGCATGGGAAGGCTGTGACTGACCATGGCAGGCTGGGTGCTGGGGGCCCAGGGCAGAGGTGGGGGCTGTACCTCCACACAGCCCCCATAGGCAGCAGCCTTGGAGATCTCTCCCTTAGCAGAGGCAGGGCTGTGTCCCTCCCTACACACCCACACTTCTCTCTGGGCACACAGTGACTGGGCAGGCAGAGGGTCTCTTCCTCTTGCTGGCCATTCCTGGTATTTCCCCAGTGCCACTCTCCAAGCCTCTCTGCCTGGGTTTCAGAAGGGAGGATGGTGTTACCGCAGTCTGGAGGCCCCTGTGCCAAGGTCTTTCAGGACCCATAGGATCATCTTGGAGAAGAATCGTCTGTGCACACACAGCCACATGGAGGCCAGATGACCCTGGGTTCAAGAGATGCCTCTAGGGATGCATCAATCTCCAACGATTTCCCAGTCGTTTCAGAGCCAGGATGAGAATCCAAATGCTTGTTTACTGCAGTGAGCTTTCAGTTTAGTTTCTTATTAAATATAACTATGCATAATAGGCAACCCCATTCCCACACCAAAGCTGCAAGCATATTGCAAGTACCAGTTTATCTGTTGGGTAGGCAGAGGCGTTTAGCAGCATCATTTCAGAAGCGGAAGGAGAGTTTCCCCACACTATCCTGCAGGAAGCTTGGCAGAAGCCCAGATGCACATCCTGGATGCTGCCCAGCATCATGGCAGGAAAACGGGTTCAGAGCCACAGGCTGAGGCCTGGGGGACTTCACAGACAACTAGGACAGTTCTGACATTTGCTTCCCTCTTGACCACCTGCTTTGCCTGCTTTGCAAGGATGGACAGAGAACAGCACTAACATGCATGAAAATGAACCACACCCTGTGGTGGTGTCCCACTTAGCTGGTGGGGTCTACGGTGAGAGAATCGGCATGTATGTGTCCTGGGCCAGCAGCTGTCCTCAGGATGGACACTGAGGTCAGGTCCAGAGCAACTAATTGATGTCAGATCTGTGAGTTGCCTCTGATCAGCCAATCTGAGTAGCATGTTTATTAGAACATTTTTGCATTTGGGGGAACCAGAAGTGAGCTGATCTGCATATAGGCCAGCCTTTCTGCATAGGGCACAGCGTATGTGCAGGCAGGCTAGCTTATGTACAAACAGCCCACTATGTGTGACGTGGAACAGTCACTCTGCAAATAGAGCAGCTGTCCCCACATGGGCTACTACTTAGACCAAGCTTCTCCAACCTGCAGTCTGCGGGCTGCGTGAAGCCAGACACAGCTTCGAATGGGACCCAACACAAAATCGTCACATTTCTTAAAACTATGAGAATTTCTTCACGATTTTTTTAGCTCATCATCAGCTATCATTAGTGTTAATGTATTTTATGTGTGGCTAAAGACACTTCTTCTTCCAATGTGGCTCAGGGAAGCCACAAGATTGGACACCCCTGATCTAGATGCAAGATGCTATTTTGGAAGATGGTGTTAGTGATAATTATTTCAATCCCTGGCAGGGGGGCCCTGAACAAGCTACTCCTCTCAGAGTTCCTGCAGTCTTCCTGGGGGTGGCACCTTCAGCTTGTTCTGTGCCCATCAGCGTTATCAGCCCAGTGCTTGGGCACCTGGAAGGCATCTCCTGTTCATTCCCGGCTGCCAGGGTGACAGAGGCTTGTGTTTTGCGATGTACCGATGGTTTATTTTAATTAGGTATGATAAGATGACAAACATGGAGACAGCTGTCTTGAAAGGAGAGTTTATTACTTAAGGTTCCCAAGAGGAGGGGGCATGGCATACCAGGCAAGGCCATGTGGGAAAGCACCAGCTCAGCCGGGAGGCAGCAGGAGTGAGGGGTGAGCAGGCCCAGAGCCCTTATCGTGGGAAGGAGCTGGGGAGGTGTGGTGACCAGCTGAGCAGGCCTAGGGCTGGCGTTTCAGCAATTTTGGAGGGCTCTGGGCTCTAGTTGTCTGGTTCCTGGCCCTGGGTGATTCAGGGTAGGGAAATACTGGCCTGGGAGTGCAGGAGCCCATGTAGGAGGTGGCTGGAGCCAAGGGCTTGGATTGGGCGGTTTGCACATGAAAGGCACACTCACCAGGGAGTCCCCAGGAATTAGCTACCCCTGGGAGAGGCAGTTCCTTCTCTGGTCAGTGAGGCCCCAGGATGTCAGAGCATCATAAAATACAGAAATTAAAAAAATAGGATTAATACAACTTGGAGGAAGCATATGGGGTTTTGGGGATGCCGTTCAGACCTCACACTGGTCCAAGCCTTCTGCCTTCCTGGGACTTCTCCACCTCTCCACGCGGTGACAATGGGCAACAGAGACTGGGCCAGGCGGCACGCTTCTTCCCCCGCCCCGCTGACCCCACCAGAAAACACCATTTGCCGTATGATCTCTGGGCAGTGGAGGTCGTACTGTGGGAGGGGCAGCTCTGTTCTTGAGCTCCTTCCACTGGGAGCCCTCAGGCTCAGAGCCCACGTCCCTCCCACCTCCCATCTCCATACCTTCTGTCATTATTTAAATGAGAGTATTATGCAAATGTAATGCAAAAATCGAGTTCAACAAATCTGTTCTTACCCACACAGGGGCAGCTAATTTATGGAGCTCAGACTCAGTCTAGGTCCCTTCTTCGGGGTAATGCTGTTTTTGGAACCCCAGACAAAGTAACAGCAACTCCAAGATTTTCACAGAAGCTTCCTTTGATGACTCCAAGCTCCCCCAGACCCGGTGGAAACGCAGACTCCTTGGCTAACACTGCCATGGGAGTAGAACCCACCACAAGCCCCCTACACTCCACATGGGGAGAGCTGGGACCCATGCCCTACTGGCTAGAAAGTGGTCCATCCTGAGGGACCTGAGTCAACAAGGATGCCGGGGCTGAGCCGGGCCCTGACGGGCACCCGGGACCTCATGGGGGAGCATCTGAGCAGGGCTGGGATGAATGAGGAGACACCAGCAAAGAGGATGTTGAGAACAATTCCTGGGGAGAAAATTGTGGTCTCATTACCTCATTCGAAGTGGCCTGATCTCAAGGAAGCAGGGAGCAGAGAAACATAATCGGAACATCTCTGTGCATCAGGTTTTCGTACTGACCGTGAAGCACCAAGTGGAAGCAAGCCTCGCGCTGGGAGGACAAGGCTCTCGGCGTTTCCTTGTGGATTTATTTGCTCAGCATGAGTGCCCTGTCAAGCCACCCAAGGGACAGAGCTTCTGGCTCAGGGACCACGGTTGGCTCAGCACAGGCAGCCTCTGGAGATGAGAGGGAACCAGTGGATACCCTTCTATCCCTGCTGGCCACGAGGGGTGGCAGTGTCCCAGGTAGAGGTACTTAATAAAGAGGTTGCTGGTTTTATTTTTCTCTAAATTATTTTTCGAGGAGCTTTTCCATAAGCCCAGGCCCTGGGTTCACACCATCACTGGGGCAGAAGCCTCTTCCCTGCCTTGTCTGATGGGGTCTTTACACCTTCCTCGGTCACTGATGCCAGGTGCTATTGTTCCTGCTCAGCCAATGTCTGGACTGAGTCCCGAGCCTCATTCCATGGGCAGTGGCTCTGTCTCCAGGTGGGGCACATGGAGGCCAAGTCCCAGGGCAGGGCCCACGGTGGGCCTGGTCTTACGGGTGGTGAGTCAGCTGGGCCGGCTGAGAGAGAAGAAAATGAGCGGAACCAGGAGCAAGACAGGTGGAGGATGGGCAGAAGACAGGGTGGCCTCCTCAGGTGGAGAGATCTTGAGGGCCATTTTTCATGCCACCTCCCTCCACAAATCTGCCCACGGCTCCCGATAGCCACGCTCTCCAGCACCTGCCCTTTCAAACTCCAGGGCAAGCTCCAGATATCACCACACTGACCATCTAAAGGGAGCTTGGTTAGCAGTGAATACGTGCCCGTGACCCTGTGGGCTCGGGAGACCCCCATGGGGCTTTCCTGCTCCCTTGGGTAGGGGAGGCTCACGCCTGTGGGTCGGCACCAGTCTGCTTCTCATGTCCCTCCTCACCTCCCAGGCCCCTGGCCCCGGACAGGATAGGTAGAGGCATTTCCTCTTTTCTGCCTTGACTCACTTCACAGAGAGGGGCCTCCCCCACGTGCCTGGCCCCACTGCCAACCCACCACGTGCCGGCCTTGGAGTATGGGGGAATGTGCTTTGCTGCCATTTCTGAACCTGAGGGAGCTTATCTTTCTTCTGAGAGCCCTGTTCTAGGTAGGCAAGCTCCTGTATACTTTACTGCCATTTGTTCAAGTTCCAATTATGGAAGGGACCCTTAGTGAAAAGAGCTTGGTGCTGAGGTGTAATTCTCTGAGCACACTGGGCCTGAGAGCAGCCTTGCAATGACAGGGTTTTCCGGCTCGAAGGAGCCGTCCCCGAGTCCTTTCCACTGGTCTTGGAAGGGAAGAGTCTGTGTCTCGGCGACAGAGGGTGTCTTTGTGGATAAATGAGGCCTCTTTGTGCATGGCCTGCCCAACAGAGGCCACAGGCCGGACACATGCTGACCTTGGACACCTTCCATCTCTGGGGTCAGGGCTGGGACCAGAGGAGATGCCGAGGCCAAGACTAAAGCCCCCCAAAGGTCTTCTGGGCAACTCCCCGTTCAGGGCTAAAAGTCTCCCTGTGATCCCTCCCAGAGGGTTCTGCTTGCACCCCCAGGGCCAGGCACAGCCCCCACACTCTCCTCCTCCCCACACCAGTTCCTCTGCCACCCTCATGGGGCCTGACCACTCCCTGCAGCTTGGGGAGTCCAAAGCACCCCCTTCCCTGAGGGACAGGAGGGGCCCCTGAGCCAGGGCCCTCTAACAGCCATCCCGGGGCCTGGGGTCTGTGGAGGGGTCACGTCCTTGCTCCTTCCTTTCTGTGTTCCCACTTCTACGAGGAGAGGGGTGGAGACTCTTTCCAGCTCTCCAGGTCTACCTCCACACAGCCTTGGAGGGGCGTCCTGGGGGTAGATTACGAACAGGATGGGGCGCTGCTGTCTTTGTGGAAGCCCAGGCCTCCTCCTCGAAGGCCCTATGATCCCGTGTCTGACTTGTAGGTGTCCGTGTCCCCTTCCCCACCAGGCTGTTCACTCCTCCAGGGTACAGGTCCCCCCTCCAGCTCCTTTCTGGGACCCAGAGCTCACTTCAGGGCTCAGCACAAAGTAGATGGCCTGAGATAAGCAGACAAGTAGATGGCACCGCTGCCAGGCCCACGGGGATCACAGGGCTGCCCACGTGCTCCACGAAACACACAGGCACTGACGTGATGGCAGAGCACCACCAGGGTCTTTCAGGAGGGGACTCAGAGTGCTGAACGACCCCACGCACGCAGTCGTGAGGAAAGAGCTGGGCCTGCTCAGCTCGTCCTACATGTGCAGAGAACACAGTGATCAGAGCTCCTGGCAGTGCCCACCTGTGGTCAGCCTGGGAGAAGGAGGCCTTGTCCTCGATGACAGTGGTTCATGTGCACTGCTGTTTCTGGAGTCAGCAGAAACAAATCCATTCTTTAAGTAACGAACAGAGGCGCCTCTGCTACTTGACACAGAGCAATGCTAGGTGTCGGGTAGTCAGGGGCCAGGGCCTGGGTCTGGGGACTGCGGTGCCCGGTCTAAGACAGAGGCCAGGCTGGCCATATCAGCGAGCAGCAGAAGGCCCCCCAGAAAGCTGTCTCTGGTCCAGCGGCGAGGAGCCCCCACAGGTAGGAGCCACCAAGCGCAGTGACCGCGTGCTCTGCTCTCCAGCCCGTGACAGATCCGAGGGGCACTTTGCAAACTCTCCGAGGCCAGGAGACCATGCATCCTCTTTACCTCCTGCCCTGGCCATGACTTCCATCATGCCCGATCTGACCCTCACCACTATCAGGCACCCTGAAAGGGAGCGTATTCGTGGATGGTAAATGCTAGCCCCATGGGCAGGGGCTTCCTGGCCTGTGCCATGTGACCCTCCCTGACACAGCTGCCTGGACCTCAGCCAGGACTTTGGACTCGGGGAGCAGGTCATCAGTCACACCCTTGGCAGGACCTGTCCTGGGAGCCCTCTGTGTGTGGGGAGCTGCCTCATTCCCCTGTGAACACAGTAGGGCATCATGGGGTACGACGGTGAGCACTGGAGCTACCCTGGGGGCTGGGCTCAGTCCTGAGGTCAGGCCCAACCTAAGCTGGGCAGCCTGGTGTCAGCTGCAAGAACCCTCTTCACCTTCCTCATTCCTACATGACTTTCCAGTGTAGGCCATCGGGTGGGATGGGGTAAAAAAACACAGGCCCCATTCTACCCCTCTGCTGATCCACACATGGACATGTGTACACCCAGGCCTCCCTGCTCACAACCATGGCCAGGAAGGCAGGCTCCGGCCAGGGCTCTGAAATGCCAGGAGGGTATAGAGAAGACAGGTGGCCCTCTGCCCCTGCAGTCAGGCAGCACCTGCCCACTCCGAATGCTGCAGCCAGCTGGTTACAGTGTCTGTTACTCAGCTAGTGCGTTTGCCAGTGCTCTTCAGTGTCACCATCGTGGCAGCCTCTGTCATTGAGAACAGTTTAACACAGGAGAAAGAAGTTGCAGGGCCCTGCCCCGGTAGAGGTCTGTCTTCCCTGCCAGCTTTACCCAGCGCGGCCGTGGGAACTGCAGGAACCAGGCTCCCAGGAGGATGCAGACTGACTGACCGCTGCTCCCCGGGGAAGAGCCGCTTTCTAGCACTTCCTTCCTCTTCCTGCAGCCCTCTCTTACCTTCCTGGGGTAGGGAAGGGATGCTGATGTGCTGAGATGGGGTTTTCTGCCTGTTAGAATTGCTGGGGAAAACAACTTACTGTTTTAGCAAGGAAACAACATGCTTCATGGCAGCAAATTGTGTTTTCAGGGGCTCCAGAAAGATATCAGTCTGTTATAAAATAATCAGGCCAATGCTCAGGACCCATCACTAAGGAATAAACCAGCAGCTCTCCACGAGGGGGCACAGCTAGCTTTCCTCTTCACCTCCAGAGGCTGAGGCATCTTGCTGGCTTGAGGCAGCCAGGCACCAGGTGGGAGCTGCAGTGCAGGGGCAGGCCTGGGGGCCTGATTATCGCAGGAGGAGAAATGCATAGTATGTTCATCCCCCCAGAGTGACGCTGGAGAAAAGAAGCCCCAGGTCTCTCCCTTGCCCCTCTATTCCCCACCAACCCAGCTGCCCCAGCAGAGGGACAAAGGCCTGGTGATGCCTCTGTCCTGGGGACAGTGAGTGATGGGAAGGGGGCCCAGCGGGTTTGTCACCACTGGGATCTGACACATGCAGACTCCCAGGTATCCAATAATAAGTCTCATGACCAGCAGGGGCTAAGGGGTGTTGGGTGTGCGTTTCTGTGCTTGTGTGTGTGAATTCCAAGAATCTTTCTTAAATTCTGGACATCTAGGGGCCAGGGCTGTCACTTTCCACCATTTCTGAGAGCACAGACATGTGCACTGCCCCCTCCTCTCAGCCCCCCTCCCTTCTTCTTGCTCAGTGCTCCATACTCCCAGTCCCTTCAGTTCAGGCCTGGAGGAGTCGCCCCTCCTGGAACTGCTGAAGGGTGGGGAGGCAGCTTTCTGGACAGAGGAGCAGGCAGGGAGGGTGCTCCCCCTTGCAGGCTGTTCTGAAGGGTGGATTCTTCTTGCTGCTTCTTGGGAGACTGCATGCCCAAGGGAGCACAGCCATGCCAGCCTCACGTGACTCATCTGAAGTCACAGCCAGCTCTGTAACCTGCTCCGTTGTCGTGAGGCTTTGTCCTTGCTTTGTCCCCACCACTCTGAGCCTGTATGTCCTGCATGTTGCACACAGCTCAGCCTCACTTGGGCCCCACTTCCCAGAGAAGCCAGGAGCAGACGTTCCTCTCAGAGCTCTCAGCGCCCGGTGGGGCAGGGCCCTTTAATCACGCCATGAAAGACAGCAAGGACATGAGTCTCTGCTTAGTTACTATCTAGGTCTCTGTGGTCCAGCCGGGGAAGGGGTGGAGGCAGCATGTTCCCTGCTGTGGCCAAACTAGGCCGCTGGGCCCCGGGTGCTGGCCTGCCAGGTGCTGTGGGGTCTGCCCCGTGCATCTTGTGCAGAGGCCCTCCCCAGGCCCCACTGGACCACGGCTAAGGCTGAGCTTTAACTCGTTTGTATAAAAGCAGATTTCAGGTGTACTAACTGAACAAGACGATGCTTTTAAAAATCAAGAGTGGCAACAAAAGAGCAAGGGGCCACGCCCCAAGGTCCCACCCGAACACCTCCCAGTAAGTGACGGCAACACAGGAGACTTAAGGGATTCAACGGACACGTCCTTTAGCCAAGATGTGGCATTTCTGTCTGTAATGTGAACACTTCCTTATATGATGGGGGTTAGTAAACATCCCCCATTCCTCAGGTGGGGACAGTCACATGCTTGCAGGAGGATTTTCCTATTACGGGGCTGAGACCAGTGAGGCAATGATCTTGGAAGCTGCCATTAGTCACCATCTGGGCAAGCAGCTGTTACAGTGTGCAGTGTTACCCTTCAGCTCTGGGGTTCTTTGAGCCCTGCCGGCGTGTCCTTGCTGACCGTCTCTGATTGGGGCCAGGCTGTGGGTGTTCCCGGCCATCAGAGCTGCCGGGGGACCCTGGAGAGCAGCTTTCCCAACTGTGTCATCATAGAGAAAAGGAAGCCGAGGCCACGGTCCACAGCTGGGGGCACAATCAGGTGAGAATTCTAATTCCTTGAGCCTTTCCCCACACTCTGGCCTGAACCAACCCTGCTGACTCGCTGGTGAAGTCCCCCCACCCTGACCGCCTCAGTTTCTCTCCCTGCTGTGCTGGTGCCCTGAGACGGGTCGCTGCTGCATTGAGTATAAGTGCTTCTGAGCACAGAGAGGACTTCCAAGCACTGTGCAGAATCACCAGCAACTTTCAGAAAACAGACAAATTGCTGGGGAAGCAGCATCATTCATGCCCTCTGGTTGAGGGAGGCTAGGGGCCATCCAGGGGTCTGGGGAGACTCGGGGATCCAGGCCCAGACAGAGCCTGTTCCCAGACAAAAACCATGGGTGGCACCCTTCACTCTCTCTTCCCATGGAAACTGCATCCAAAGCAAGAAACTTCCATTTGAGACCACACTGAACAAGAAAGGGCCATTACATTTTATTCTGAAATGGCCCCTGGAGAAAGAATGGAAGCAAATTGCACAAGTGGGCGTCCATCTCCTTCCACCCGGCCACGGTCACCGTGGTGCTCGGCCAGGCTCCTGGTGACGTGAGGCAAATCTCTCCGCTGGCAAACCAGCCCACACACTCCCTCCATTGCAGACGGTCACCCAGAGCTGGGAGAAGCACCAGGGCCCTGAGCCCGGCCTCTACAGGCACAATGAGTATCATTTTACATCTCTGACCACGTCTTATCTTCTCTCCAAGATGCGCTCTAACACTTGGTCAAATTAACAGTAAACAGCGTCTTCCAAGCTGAAAACAAATGCATCTCACTTGACATTCCGCATCAGCACCATCCCTCACCTCAGCTGTGTGGGGACTGGACTCTTCAGACAGCAGTGCTGCTCAGAAGAGAGCGAAGGCAGTGGCCAGCCCCTCTCCTGCCTGTGCACTCGGGGAATCTGCCGGTTGTGAACTGGCCTGGCCACAGAAGGCGCCTTCCTCTGCTCTGACCACGGTGGAGCGCGGGATCTCCTGGGATGGGCATTTCTCTTTTCCTGGGAGGTCATGGGGCATGAGCTGCACTGAGCAGCGGAGGGCCGGTGGGCTGAAGCCCTGCTCTTGATTTCACACACCTCTTCCAAGACTTTCAAAGTGCTCCTTTGAAACATCCTCCGAGCCCCACGCTGGCCTCAACCGGGGAAAGTGCTCTGCTACCCTCTCCAAGGACAATTGGTTCTTGGGAAGGTCTGCCCCACACTGGGCCAACCACGAACCTTCCTTGGGAATTTCTGAATTAGAACCAACAGCCAAGGCTCATCCACCCCTGGGGTGACCAATACACATTACAGACCAGGAGCCAGAGGACTGGTTGCTTTAAAACAGGAACAAAACTGAATCTGGACCAGCAGCTGCAACTAGAGTGACCCCGGTTAAGTTTATGATAATCCTCAGTCCTTCTCCAAGAGCTGTCTCCCTTCCGTGCGGGCCGAGTAGGTGAGCTGTACGGAGATGTGGTAGGAATCCCACCCCTGCCTCCTCAAGTCTGTGATGGTGGCCCTCATCTCTGCAATCCTCCAGGGATATGGTATTGCATTTAGTTTGCTATTTTCACAGGAAGACGCAGTTCCAGCGGCCTCTGTTTGGCCTTTCTGACCATAACAGCTCTCGCTCTGTGGCCCGGAGAGCCAATGTGAGGATTTTGCCCATTGTTGAATAGTCAGTTCAAGTCATGAATTTGGGAACTGGGGAAATAACCACAGGGTGGACGCAGTGGGCCCCACTATGCATCAAACCTGAGCCAAAACTCTGCTGACCCAAAAGTCCCCACCCTGACTGTGAACCACAGTGACATTTGGGGTTTCCAGGAGTTGGTGTCATTTCGGAGCCAGTGTCCAGTAACGCTTGCAGAGTCTGATCAGTTCCCTTCCACAGTAGAGACAGCGGCCACAGCGTCTTCAGGGAAGGCTGGGAGGAAGGTGAAGCCTCTATGGTTTCACCAGGTGGCAGTGTGGTGGGCCCTTCCTCCAGGGGCTCTGGGTCTGTAAACTGGTTTAAGTCTGAGAATTGAGATGCTGTGACTCTCTATTGTGGTGACATGTGTCAGACTTCTGTTCATCAGGCCTACAGCGTGGATCTGTGGCCAATACATTGGCCACAATGTTCCTGTTGAAACAGGTCGGGGAATGCCAGCTTTCTGCTCCAAACATCCAGGAACTTCTCCACGCCTCCAAGTGGCCTGCAAGGCCCCGCCGGCCCTGCCCCATTCCCTCTCAACTCCATCTTCCACAGCTCATGGTTCTCACTGGCCTCCCTGCTCCTGGAATGATCTGGGTGTGCTCCCACTTCTCCCAGGCCCAGCTCGCCTGGCCCTCGCCTGTCTCAGTCTCTGTGCAGGTGACAACCTCTTGGGAAGACCTTCCCTGGCCATACCTTTGAACTTGCTTCCTGCTTTCACATTGTCTACCCCTTTTCTGCTTTACTTTTCTTCAAAGCCCTTATCATTGCCTTGCACACTGCATGTTTTAATTATTTAGTTGTTTATTGCGTGTCTCCTCCCTCTAAAATTTTAATCTCCATTGGGTAGGACATTTCCTGGCACACACTCAGAATTTTTGTGTTATGATTGAAGGAATAACATCAGCAATGCTGTTCTTTCCCTCAATTACTATGTTTCGAGCTTGTGGCAATCTGTAGAAGTTAGTCAATGGGCCTTACAATCCTGATTTGGAGAAAAGGGGGCCATGAAAAGGAGGGACAAGGTGTCATATATCAATGCGGCCAAGCGCCGACGCTGCCTCCTCCTTCCCCAGATCACCAGGAAGAAGTCAGAGGAGGCTGCTGTTCGTCGACCCACATGCTCCCTTGGGAGCTTGAGAAGCTGCTCCCCCTGGTGCTGCCCCTGGGTGCTGCTTACCGGGAAACTCATGGCATCCGAGATGCTCCACTGCGCTGGGTCTGTCCCGGATCCTCCCCGCAGGTCAGATTCATGTCAGGAATGCTGGAGGGTATTGCGGTCTGGCAGGAGCTCACTGTAGGGAAGGAGAGGCTGGGCTGGATCCCGAGGCTGAGCCGTCCGGCTCTGCAGCCCTCCCGGTGCTCAGTTATCAGGCTCACTACCTCTCAGAGGCGTCTCTTCTCTCTGTGGACATTTGTCTGTCACAGCTGCAAGATTCTCACAATAAACTTGCTCTCCAAATTCCTAAAAGAATTGCTTGCTCCAGTTTAGCCAGCTAAGACTTTCTTGGATAATGGCATAATCTGGAAGGATATTTAACAAATTCGTTTAAACTGGAAATTATTGACTCTATGGTGAGTCAGGAAAAACCACATTCACAATATTCAACAGCAGCGCTGGGCCTTGATGCTCCAGGGCAGTGCAGGGATTAGAGATCTGAGAGGTTTCATGACGCTTCTCAGGGGAATACACGGGTTCTGGGTTCTTCTAAGGAAGCTCCCTCCATGCCAGCCACCACCTTGTCTCTGCTGGGGAAACAGTGGTCCAGGGGCCCTCAACTGCAGGGAAATTATTGAACCTCCCAATGTCACTGCATCTCCTCTGGGTCTTCTTTTATTCCTTCTTTCCCCTAGAAAACACCTTCTGACACACTCCCGCTCTGCCTGTCTGTCCCCGGCTGCGGCCAGACAGCGAGCAGGGAAGAAATCCAGTGTCTGGACTGTTTGCTGGTCTGCAGAACCTGTTCTCTCGCAGTATCTGTTTTCCAATGCAGATTTTCACAGTTCCCTAAACAAACTTAAATTTCCATTCCCAGAATGACTTCATTTCCTGATACCCAGCCCAAATTCACGTGTGTTTGCAGCCGATGTGGCAACATAGCCACTTGGGTGGGGGTGAACATCACAGCCCACAGTTCTGCAGTTCAGATTTGGGTTTATCTTAGCACTTAGTGCAACTTTGCATTTGGCAGAGGTCTTTCTCTTTTGTAGTCCTTGCCACCAACCTCATTACTTGTGAGAGTCTGCCTCATGCCTGTCTGCTCAGCAGATGAGAGACCTTGAGGCCTGGGAAGATCCCGCCCTCCTTGGCTCTGTATTCCTAGGTAGTGCATTGCCTAGTGGTTGGTTAATTTTAGGTGTCAACTTGACTAGGCTGAGGGAAACCCAGATAGCTGATAAAACATGCTTTCTAAGTGCGCCTGAGAGGGCGTTTCCAGAAGAGATCAGCATTTGAATCAGGGGAGTGAGTGGGAAAATCCACGCTCCCCGAAGCCTGAGGGCCCAGATAGAACAAAAAGGCAGAGGAAGGGTGAATTCTTTCCTTATTCTGGATCTGAGACATCCATCTTCTCCTGCCCCCAAACATCAGAACTCGGGGTTCTCAGGCCTTTGGACTCTGGGACGTACACCAGCAACTTCCCTGGTTCTCCAGCTTGTAGATGGCAGCAGGACTTCTCATCCTCCATAATCACATGAGCCAAGTCACATGAAAAATCCCTGCTCATCCCTCTCTCTGTGTACATCCTATTGGTTCTGTTTCTATGGAGAACTCTAATACAACTGGCACAGACTAGCTGCTCAACAAGTGTTTTATTTCTGAATGACTGAGATGTTTGAGCAGCTTCCAAGCTTACATACCTGTGTTTCCATTAAAGCCATTGTTTAGGAGGCCGATGGCAACAAAAGGTTGAAACATGGCAAAATCAGGGGCAGTTGATTTGAGTTATACCGTGATGTGTTTACATTTGTACTATGATAGGGATTTATTGCAAGGAGTTAGGAATGCTGGCCTCTAAAAGCTGGAAAAGTGTATTTTGTTGGGGAGGCCTGGGAGCCCCCATCTCACACACAGGAGGGAAGACACAAGGGGAAGCACTCGTGACGATGAACGAGATGTTGTTCCTGCCAGACGCAGGTCCTTGCCATGTGTGTGCATAACCTCATTTCATTCGATAGCAACTCAGGAGGAGGAAATCATTATTAACTGTATTCTTTTATGTACAGAAGCTGAGGCTTGAAAGTGAAAATGACACAGCTGTTCATGGTCTTGCTGGCATTGGAGCCAGGAGAGAAAAATCCCTTGGTAAAATCTCCCAGCTGAATGGGGAAATGGGAATATATCCCGCATGGCCCAAAGAGACCATGGCTGGAAGTGGTCACAGTCCTCGAGGGGGAGCTGTGTGGTGGCCAGGCTGTGGTCATGAAGACACAGCGGCGTGGGAGGCTGAGGGTCGCTGGGGATGCTGGCTGGAATGTTTCTGTTAATAGCTGGAGCTCCAGAGCCTGTCCTGGAAGAGGGATGGGGGCCTGGTCCTGGGAGGGTTTGTAAACCGGCATGAGCACATGTCAGGGTGGAGCTCTGACGTCAGGCCCCTGGCATGACTACAATAGACATCACACAAATGGGGCAAGAGGACCAAGCCTCCCCACGGTATAGCTGCTCAACTGTGTGGGGGGAGCTGTGGTGAAACACAGGACTCACTTAGAAAGATCCAGAGAGATAATCCACCCACAGAAAACCTGGAGAGCATTTTGAAACTTCCTACAGGAAATCCAGGAGAAAAGGAGTCCTATTCAGTGATGGGAGGGGGGGCAGGTCAGGGGCCGCATCGGAAGGCAGTCGTCTGAAGGGATGCACGGATTCACGACGGAGGTGCTGAGACAGCCACAGGAGATTGGGTGGGGAATCTAGAGCTGGGACACTCTGGTTTTGATGGAAGGAGCATCGCCCTAGGAAGCAAAGACACAGATTCGAGTCCAGGCCTGGAGCAAACTTCAATCACCCTTAAGCCCTCTGAGTTTCTGCGTCTGTGAAATAAGCATAATGATTCCCACCTCACAGGGGCAGGGGCAGGGGCAGGACACTGTGAGATTGTAAGGGTTGGTGTCCCTCTTCGCATGGAGTCAGCAGCCGGCTGGGCTGAGGGAGGTGTTTCTGTCCTTAGGTGTCGCAGGCTGGCTCTCGTGCGTCCTTCCTTCCACTTCTCCCCACCTGCATCCACACAGAGAATACACTACCTCCATAAAACGCTTGCAAGGGGCCACTGTTCTCAGCATTTCACCTGTCAACCTCACTTAAGCCTTAAACAGCCTATGATGAGGTTCTGATACTGTCTCCCTTGGCCTGCTGGAAGGCCCAGTGCTGAAGGACAACTGGGCACCCCGGCTCTTGGTATGGTCAAAGGCTCTCACCTGGACAGGGAGGACCCCCTCCTCTCCCTGGGCCTTCTGCTGCCCTGAGCCCCTACTGCTCTCTGCCACGGACTCGGGAGGGAGCATGAGCTGCATCCAACAGGCCGCAGCAGGTCCCGGCCTCTCAGCACCCAAGACCAGACAGAGGCAGTGCCTCGGCTGCAGTAAAGGCCTAGCGACCTGGGTGGGCATGGGGCACACGTTCTTACTCTGGCATTAGAGGTCATGCCACTGCTTGTCTTTACCATTCTACCCAGTGTCCTGCGAGGACTTGGTCCTCAGGTGGGTCACAAGTCTCAAGTCCATTAATTAACTGGTCGGAAGTGAGTCCTGGTCCATCCCTGTGAGGAGCAGGGGGACTGGCACCTCATTTCCTCGTGGACTCATGGCCCTACACAACGACACGCCTGGCCTTCCTGGACCCATGCACTCACTCCAGAAGGACATTTGCTTTGAGCTCGCCTGGTGGATGGGGTGCCCCTGAACATCTAACCATCAGTTGACATTTCCACCATCAGAAAGTTCCTCTAGGCAGCGCCCAGCTAGTGCTCCAAAGAGGTGCAGAATCTCTGAGAAATTATGTGGTCCACAGTCAACAGCTAACAACATTCATAGGACCTTATTAGCCGCCAGCTTGGAGAAGGCCAGTGTCCAGAATAAATCAAATCCTTCATAATTGTCAGACGGTGGTGACTCGGTCAAATCTCGGTCAAAAGATGCTCTGGCCAAAGTCAACAGAGAGCAGAAGCAACTTGCTTTTGCTGGTGCCTCAGCAAGACCACACAGGGAGATTTGCAGGCAATAAACAATGTTGCCTAAAACTTTCCCGTGAGGTGGGAATTGTTTTCATCCAGATAAGAAGGTGCCGGCCCAGGGGAGGTGTGGGTGGCCAAGCCAGGGATGGAGCCCTCACGTGGCCTCAAGAGATCAGCAGCCAGGAGTTAGCTCTCTCCACAGCACGCTGAAACGGCTCCACGCCTCTGCTGGTGTTTTTATAGGAACCCCTTTTGTGTGTTTGCTTCCTAGCTTGGACTTGAGTCAAATGGTCTATTAATTAGGGTAGATTTAGTCACTCCTGACATCAGCTTGTGTGGTTCGAGCAGCCCAAGGGGAAGAGACAGGGCCTCCTTTATGCAGACCCCGCAGTCTTCAGAGGACTGGACACAGCCCTGGCCCTGCTGCTGTCTGCCGTGCCTTTTGCTCCCTGGGTTTCATTCCTTGGTCTGTACCTTGAATATAAGGAGATCCGTTTGTACATTTTGCTCTCGTGCATTATACCAAAGGAAAAGAGAAGATAGTAGTTTAAAGCTCCCAACACTTTTCATGTTCTGAGCCTTTAGGTCTCCCATATGGTAGAGAATCCACAAATATCAGAGGACCCCAAACCTCGCCCGAGATGAAACAGCTTTGAGGCTTCCAGGGATCCCTCAGAAGGCTGCACCCAGGCCGGCCACACGTTAAAACGTGATGGCTCTTTTCTTCTCTGTTCACTGTGGTTTTATCAGACAGAGCTCTAAACCAGTTTATTCAATGACATGGAGTGATTCTCTCCTGTCTCTGCTTGTCCAGTGTGTGACAAGAGTTGAGAAGTGGGGAGACACAGGGGGCACATTGAATGCAGGTGGTCTTACCCGCCTCACTCAGGATGCACGTCTTGCCTGGCTAGGCTTGGCCTCCTCTGCACTGTGTGCCCCTCTAAATGAAGCGTGACCCTTCTTCCCCCACCTCATTGGTGGTTCTCTGCCCCCATGAGCTCAGCCAGCTGCTTCCCTGACACATGCAGGTCCTAGCCTGGACGAGACGGAGCAACAAGGCCGAGTGGGGACGAACACTGGCCTGGCTTTCAGGTCCACCTTTGCCTCATGCAGATGCTTCTCTACCCTTTATGATTGAGATCCTGGAGCAGGGGATCACCTTGTTGTAAGGACCATAAAGTGGAGAAGGAGCAGGGAGAGGTTAGGACCATTGCTGCAAGCTCCTGGTGTCCCTGACAGTGAGAGAGGCAGGACACTCGCCTGGGCTGGGCCTGAAGATGCTGCTTTCTCCTCTGCATGCCTGGGGTCCAACGAGGGTCATGGGACCCAGGAACGTCTCTGCAACTCTGTCTGTAAACATCCAGGAGCTAATTGTGACCTGGAAGTCATTCAGAACTCAGCACAGAGGCCTTCAGAAGTCCCTGCCTTCAGATAAGGGCAGGTGCTTACTCTCCCAGTGGCTAGCACTGTTAAAACAGACTTTTTTTTTTCTATAGCCAACATCATAACAAATGATGAAATACTCAATAACTCCCCCTAAAACGGGAAGAAAGGGAAGGGTTTCTGTTTTTGTTTTCATCTCTTCTTGTGAGCATTGGGCTGGGAGGTTCCAGCCAGTGCAAAGAGATGAGGAAAAGAAAAGTATAAATATTGGAAAGAAATAAGTAAAACTATCCTCATTTACAGGTGAAATGAGGTGGCAAATCCTAAGGGATCCACAAAAAATCAACTTGAACCAATAAGTGAATTCTGCAACATCACAAGACACCAAGTCAATATGTAAAGATCAGTTGTATTTCTATATACTACTGATGACTAATTTAAAACATCACAGGACACCAGGTCAACATATAAAGATAGGTTGTATTTCTATATACTGCTGATGACTAATTTAAAATGAAGTCAAAAATACTATCTATAATAGTAAAATCAAATACTTAGGGATAAATTTCACAATATATGTGAAAACCTCTACACCAAAAATTATCTGAGAGATATATCTCTAAATATACCATGTCTAATTCTTCACAAATTGATCTAATCATTCAATGAAATCTCAATTGGAGTCCCTGTGGACTTTTCCTCTAAATTAACAGGATGATTTAGAAGTTCATAGAGAAGTGAAGGTCTAAGGGCAGCCACAGCCATCTGGAAAGGAACGGCACCATCAGAAGAGTTGTCAAATCTTGCACCAGTAAGGCCATAAAGAAATAGCTCACTGGCATAGAGCAGAGATTACAGAAATAGGCTGACAGGCACCATCCCATGATTTTCAACAAGCAGGCCAAAACCACAGGGGGAAACATGGTACTGAAATAACTGGATATCAGGCCAGGCGTAGGGGGGCTCATGCCTGTAGTCCCAGGACTTTGGGATGCCAAGGTGGGAGGATTGCTTGGGTCCAGAAGTTTGAGACGAGTGTGGGCAACGTCATAAGACTCTGTGTCTCTACACAGAGATGTAGGCCAGGCACGGAGGTGCACACTGAGGCAGGAGGATCCCTTGAGCCCAGGGGTTTTAGGCTGCAGTAAGCTGTGATCGCAGCTTGGGCGATAGAGTGAGATCCTGTCTCTAAAATATAAAATATATAAATAAATAAAAGAAAACTGGATATCCACATGAAAAGAAAAAAGAATCTTGACTCCTCCCTCTCATACCTTCGAAACTGAGAGGTTAGGCAAGGGTTTCATAGAGAAGACACAAGCCATAAACTAGAAGATTGATAAACTAGAGTATAACTTACAAGGGAAACGAGAGTGACTTCATGCTGGAGAAACCTGGCCAGCACACTCTGCCAGGTAGCCGAGGTCAACATCAGCAGTGAGCCGGGCCGAGGCAGGACCCCTGATGTGGTGGGATGAGAAGCGCCTCACCTCTGCTCTTCCTCCAAGGAGCCCACAGCCGGAATCTGATCATGAAAAAAAGACTTCACACGAATCCCGGCAGACAGACACTCCCCCAGATGCCTGAGCCCAGCTTCTCAGAACTTTCAAGATCACAGAAAACAAGGAAGGTCTGAGAAACTGTCACGGCCCAGAGGACCCCAAGGAGATGTGACAAGCAAATGTCACACGGGATCCTGGATAGGATCCCGGCCCACAAAACGGCCACCCGAGAACAAACCAAATGAACCGTGGGCTTTAGTCAATGATTATGTAGCAACGTTTGTTCGCTAATTCTGACAAATGTACCATTATAATGTAAGGCATTAATAATAAGCAAACTGTGTGAAGTATATGGGAACCCGGCACTATCTTTATAACAATTCTGTAAACTCGAAATGGCTCTAAAATAAAAAAACTTCATTTTAAAAAACCAGCCACAGGGGAAGGAGGGAGATTGATAAATTGGACTTCAAGAAAATGGAAGTCATTGGGTGAAAATACACACAACAGGGACACCTGATGAAAGACCTCCGTGAAGAATGTGTAAGCAACTCTGGAGACCCAGCAATCAACAGACTACTGCCCAATTCTAAAAAACGGGCAAAGACTTGAGCAAACAGTTTGGAAGATACACAAATAGCTGATGAGTTTGAGAAAAGCTGCTCAGCCTCGTAGTGATCAGGAAGTGCAACTGAAAATCTCAGTGGGACGCCCTGCACGCCCGCCAGGATGCAGGCGGAAAGAGGCTGACAACACGACAGTGAGGCTTATGCCAAGCAACCGGATCCTCATCGCCTCTGGGGAGAGCCTGGAATGTGGCCACCACTTAGGACCATGGCTTGGAAATATCTTAAATCCAACGTATTTCTACATGCTAGTGATGCTGCTCATCAAGGGGGTGAGCACTCATGGGCTGGGGATGCTACAGGGTCCTCAGTGCCTGCCCATTTCACAGGACAGGAGACTGAGGTCTAGAGGGAGGCAACAGCCAAGCACGCCCTGGATCCAACGCCTCGCCCAAGCCACCACGGCTGCCTCCTCCTCTGGCCCCTCCATCTCCCCCACTCCTCCTTCTCCCCCTTGTCCCCCTTCTCCTTCTCCCACCCCTCCTCCTCCTACTCCCTCCTCCTCATCCATTGTCCTCCTTGTCCTCCTTATCCCCCTCCTTGTCATTCTCCTCTTCCTCCTAGTCCTCCTTCTCCTCCTCCTTCTCCTCCTCTTCGTTCTCTTCCTTGTCCTCCTCATTCTCCTCCTTCTCCCCGATTCCTCCTCCTTCTCCCCGACTCCTCCTCCTTCACCTCCTCCTTGTCCTCCTCCCTCTCCTCCTCCTCCTCCTTGTCTTCTTCTTCCTCCTCCTCATCCCCCTCTTCCTCTTCCTAATTCTCCTCCTCTGCCTCCTCCTTGTCCTCTCCCTCCCCCTTGTCCTCCTCGTCTTCCTTTTCTTCCTCCTCTTCTGTCCCAGGGCTTTCAAACTCTGGCTCTCCAACGACATGGAAGAGTTAAAAGGAGGAACGCCGGCTCAGCCAAGCCCCGGAGACTCCTACTTGATATGGGCAGTTTAAAGCCACTTTCCCTTTAAATTTTTCTGTGACAACTCTTTTCATGGAGAATGGAAAGACTCTCGTTAAGTGTTGCCGTTCAGAAGTGTTGGTGGTCGTTGCTAACATGAGATCCAACAAGGTAAATGCCAGAAGCCATCTGCAAGGGGTAATACCTTATTCTGCTTTTGCATAAGTGATGCTGCATCCCTTTATCTCTCTGCTGCGGCCTTCAGTGCTGATGGCCTGTGCCACCCAGTGACTGGTTAAATCAGCTTGAGGAAGAGCTCTTTTGAGCCTCTGTCCTGTTTAGCAGAGGAAACTTCAAAGTCCCAGCATCCTGGTCATGGAATGCTATGTTAACCCTTTCCAAAGTTTGAGACTGAGATGGGCAGACCATTTTAAAGACACACTGCATCCAGCCTCCCATGACAGAGCCTCATGGGAAGGGTGGTGAGCAGAGTCGTGGGGATATTCTATCCTGAGCCTTCCATGTTGGGGCTTCTCGGAGACAGGGGAGGACCACAGCCTCAGTGACTGGCCATTGGCCAAATACACTCATTAAAGTGCCCTCTTCTCCAGGGCTGGGGACCTGACTCTCTCAGTCTGTGGGGCCCAGCCCACCTGCTCCTCCCTAATGGCTCCTGCTGGATGGGGAACAGCCTGGCACCAGGTGAACCATCACTGACTCTCCCTGGGGAGAGACGAGGGAGGAGGGGGCATGTCCAAGAGGCCAAGGTACAAGCCCAGTGCCCTGCAGGTCTTCCAACATTTCCAGCCGTAATGGCCATGATCACCATGGTCTGGACTTTCTGAAGAAAGTCTTTTCACAGGCTCGGCCTGGCTGGAATCTGACCTGTGAAGCCTTTGGGTCAGTCGCAGGAATTATCAAGCATCTGCCATGCCTGGAAGAGTTGGACTGGGGAGGCACAGGGCCTGCCTGGCGTCAGGTGCTGAGGAAGGGATGATAAATGCACCCCCTCTGTTTTGTCCGTTTCTCACGGCCTCTCTGGCCACCCCGTCCGCCTGTGTCTGTCCTGCCCAGCCCTTCTCTGACGAGCGTGTCTTGGCGCTTTGTCTCTGCTCACCCTGGGCTCATCAGTGTAAACAGCAGGAGGTTCCACCCCAGGCGAGGTGTGCCATTGTGACCGAAGGTCTCAGGGAACAGAACTGAGTCTGGGTAGGTTGAGCTGGGAGTTTCATAGCTGTAGGAAGCTGCGATCGCAGCTTCATGATGCAGACAGAAGGCCTTGTCTCAGCTCAGTGGGGGAAGCCCCTTGTCGACTCTAGGCAGGGGGGATTGTACCGCTGCCTCTCCCAGTAGCAGCTCCCAGGAGGCAGTACAGTCACGGGGCCCCGCTGGTAGAAGCCTGAAAAGTCCATCGGGAAAACCTCAAAGGCCACCAGTCCTCGAGGTAGCTGCTGCTCCAGCTGTGCTCACCTGGAGTGGAGGGGCAAACGGCACCAGGGGTGGGAGAGGTCAAGGCAGAGCCTCTGCCCCATCCTAGACCAGCTGCACGAGACGACAGCTCACACCAGCTGCCCAGAGGCACAGCCCCTCTGCCAGGCTTCAGCAGGGCACGGCTTGATCTCAAGGCCCTCTCTTCTCGTCCCACCGCCCCTCCCTCCTGTGACAGGAGGACCAGCAGTTCCACTCTGAGCCCGGCTGAGGCCCGACCTCCTCCACCTCAGCCCTGAGAATCTTCTCCAGCTGGGATGGCTGTTGCCCTGTTGTCCTGTTGCCCTGTTGCCCTGTTGTTCTGTTGTCCTCTTGTCCTGTTGTCCTGTTGTCTTGCCCTCCCAGCTCCTGACCACACAGGGGCTTTGTTCCCGCGCCAGCCTCTTTGGGGAAAGTGGGGGAGGGGGGCCCTGCTCCAGGCTCTGGGACATTTGGCTTGGGCTGTAGCCTGTGTCCAAGGAGAAGAAACCCTGAAGGTGGGTTCCCACCAGATGTGGGCATGGTCAGCTACATCAGGCCCCCAAAGGTGTGCACATCCTAATCCCACGAACCCGTGGGCACGTTACCTTACATGCAAGAGGGGCTCTATGGATGGAGTCGGGATAAGTGTCTAGAGATTGGGAGGTTGTTCTGGGTCATCCAGATGACTTATGAGAGGGCCCTTATGAGAGGGAGACAGCAAGCTCACAGAGAGGGCCATGGAACAACAGCAGCTCAGACACAGCAGAGGCCGCACAGCTGTCCTGGGTGCCGAGTAGCTGCAGAGGTCGGAGGAGGTGCAGAGCAGGTGTTCTGCAGCCTCCAGAGGGACCAGCCCTGCTGACTCCCTGGCTTTGGCTCAGTGAAACTCATTTCGGACTTCTGAGCTCCAGCTCTGCAAGAGAAGAAATCTGTGCTATTTTAAACCACTAAATTTGTGGTTTCTGTTTCAGCAGCAGTGGGAGAGGGCGAAATGCTCTCCAGCTTGGCACCCGCAGCCCAGCTCAAAGGCAGGGACTGTGGTTGCTTTGCAAATGAGGGAGGCTGGGTCCCTGCCCTCACCGGGCTTACCATCTAGGTTTGGAGAGGAGTGACGTAAGGTGAAGTCAGAAAAGAATCATAAGAAAAGAGAGTCCACACCCTGGAAGGATCTGAGGCAGAAGGAAGCTCTTGCTGAACCACCTGAGAGGAGGCGGTCTGGCCTGAGCACCCTGGGGGGCCTGCGCCCCCACTTCGAGGCCCCTCTGGAAGGTGCTTGGCTCTCCGGATGACCCCAGCACTGGGGAGACCCGCTGTGCTTTCCAGGCAGCACAGACACCTCGGTGTAGGTGTTGTGGTGCCACAGGGAAGGGTGTTTCTTCCAGCCTGGTTCTCAGGACGGGCTGCTGGCTGGAACAAACCCCACCTCTATCTGAGCCACCAACCATCTGAACCGGTATTCTCTCTATCTGACAAATATTCCTCCTTCTTTACATCCCAGAAATGGTGAAAATGCACAATGCCTCAGGACGCCTTGAGGAAGGAGCAGCGTGTTGCTGCTGAGGGTGAACACACGTGGTCTCTGAGGAGAGGCGACAGATCTCCCTGGGCGTCAGTCATCCTGGGACTGGGTGTCGTGGAAGAAGGTGACACCAGGCAGAAACCAAGAGCAGGGGAGCTGCAGGCCGGTATCAGAGCCCGTATCAGAGCAGAGTGGCCCCTGAGCGGGGAGGCAGCTGGAGCTCACTGTTGGAGGAGGGCCCGGCACCTGCACCTGAGGACATGAGTCTGAGGCCTGCGGAGAAGCCAGGTGAGACACCGCTGTGCTTCTCTGGGCCACGGCCCCTCACGGCTGCATCCAGTCACCAGAGTTCCTCTGTGCCTCACCCACCCTTGATCATAGAAGACAGCCTGCATGTCCTCAGCTCTGTCCTCCAACCGGCTGCCCGGGAGGCCTCCCTGGCTGCTCCCCAAACTGCACGTGCCCTGAGTCAGCCCTGGGGCCTCATGGACTCCCCTGTTCACGCATCCCGGCAGCGCGCAAACCATCCCTGTCGGCTCCCAGTGAAATGCTACAGGATCTCAGGGCAGCTGCACCCCGCAGGTTCAGAAGGGATGGGATTCTGTGTCCTTTTCCTTCTTGCTTCAGACCTTCACCTGGGGCTCTAACACCGAAAGTCTGTGCCAGACAGAGGCATCCACAGCGACAGGAGCCTGGGCCAGGGCGGCCATCCCTGCTGCAGAGACAAATGTCAGTGTCCATGGAATCAGTTCGGTGCGGTGAGCGGCAGGTCTGATATGAAAGCTACTCGCACTTCCCGTCTGGGCAAGAGCAGGAACTCGGCAGGCAGAGAGCTGGTGGAGCTTTCCATGGGAAAACCAGAACCTTCAAAGAGCCCGGCCTCCCTCTGATCAGCCCCTTCTTTCTGATCAGATGCATTATTGACGAGGCAGCCTCCTCCACCTGCCTCTCATCAGAGCAGCTCGTTTCCCACCGTGGTAATTTATACTTGTGATTTTGGCCTTGATCAATAAAGGCAACGGAGAAGACGCACCCGTTCATTTCCTACAGGAGGGGCGGAAACACACAGGCCTCTGTGCAGAGCTTTCCTGGGCTCTTCTGAAGGCAAGCAAACCCATCAAAGGGAAGATCTGCACGCTGAAAGGTCAGCAGTTCCCTTTTCCCCATGGGATTTGTGTTAGCAACTTTGCGAGTGGAAGATGCATTTGGAACTGCCAGTCCCTTACAGCCCTCACATGGGAGGTGCAATGTTCATCCTGTCACTATTTTAAAACTCGTCTCAGGGTTGGGAGTAACTGAAACCGTTTTGGGCTTAATTTTGCATGAGGACGTAGCAGAGCATGACAGAAGGGAAAAAGAGAAAATGCTGGCAAAGGAGAAATGGCCCTAAGAGGGAAGCCGGATCCCTAGCTGGGTCGGAGTAGATGAGCGGGGAATGAGGGGCTGGAGGATGCAGCTCCGAGCGTGCAGGGGTGGTGTGCTCTCGGGAGGGAGCTGCTGTGGAGCTACTAAGGAGGGAGGCTGAGGGGTGGGAGAAAGCCCAGGGCTGTAATCGTAGCCCCTGGAGCCTGATTTAAAAGACTGGAGGAGGCAAAACCTTTCCTGGGTGACATCCATCCAGGGCATGACCCTGCGGCCTCCGTGTCTGCTGTGGGCGAGGCTGTCCCTGCAGCCAGCCCTGCCCCCATCCCTTCCCTTCTAGGGATGTTGGAGTGTGGGGCAGCCCAGCTTCTGCCCACAGCACAGATGAGGAACTGAGGATGCAGGGGCCCGTGGGGGACGGCACACGGTCAGCCCAGAATTAGGACCTAAGGTTGGCCCTATGGGTTCCTGCAGCACAGACGTGCAGCATGTGCACCCACATGTACACACAATCAGGCATAGCCACAGAGAATCACACCCTCCCACGCACACCCACACCCACACACCCTCCCACAGGCACACGCGCACCCTCACACTCATGGTCTCGCCCTCCCACAGGCACACCTACACTCACCCACGCCTACAGGCACACAAGCACACACTCCTTTCCCCCCACAATCCCTGCACACCCGTGGGCACCTATGCTCTCGTGTGGTCTGGATCTGCCCTCTGTGTGCACAGCCTGTGCCTGGCCCAGCGTGAGTGACTCGTGGATGCTCTGCAGGTGAGACCTGAGGTGAGTGTCCTGGCACCGCCCGGGCCTGGCTATCGGGAAGCTCCGCCCAGACGGCCGCCTCCTCCCTGGCGCGGGCCTCTTCCCTAGGAGGAGCTCGTTAGCTTGTTTTTCCATCGGTATTCTTTGTCCCCAGTCACCCGGACCTGGGGCTGGGCACTGCCAGGGGCAAATGTGCCATGTGGAGAGGCCAAGCGGGGGACAGGGGCGGCTTGTCCGCCAGGTGGCACCGAGGCGGCTGCGTGTGGGGCAGTGTTCCCACTCTCGTCACCAGCCCGCACTTCCCGCTGCCTCTGAGTATTCTGTGGGGGCTGCCCCGGCTGCAGCCCCAGGTGTAGCCTGCTGGAAATCTCACGGTGTCCAGGCCCCATCCCTAACCGGCCCGGGGCATCCCTGATTTCGTGCTCACCGAGAGGGGCCTCCCTCGGCCTGCCCAGCTAAGAGCCTTGCAGGAGCCCTTCTCCAGCCTCACACTGCCAGCCCCTTTGAATTGCAGCACTCAGGTCCCCAGGAAAGGTGTTTTTATCCAGTTAGCTGTTTTTTATACTTATGAAAAAGCTCCGTCGCTTGGAGCAAAGCAGAGTTGATTTTCAGATGTGATTTCTGCAGGCAGAGCAATGTCTGGTTCCTGCTGTTTCTTCTGATGGGCGCGGCGGTGACTGAGGGTGTCCTGCGAGCCGTCGGTGAGCGCTCAGCTGTCCTGGTCTGCAAGTTCCTACTGACATCACAACCTGCTGCTTCTCTCTGTCCTTAAGGGTCAGAAGATGGAGAAAAGGTTCATGTTTCCACCCCTGTATTCTGTTAGGTTCGGGTTTTTGAGAGAGGCTTGTGGGGAAGGGGCCGTGTCCCCACTCCTTCCTTTCTTCTTGTACACATATTTACATCCACTGATTGAGTGATTTACAATCACTCAACATGATTGACGGAACTTCTGGCACTGCGGAAGCTGTGCTAAGGCCTGGGCATTCATGGGACATGGAGCGTGCAAGAGCTGAAGTTTTAATGACTTGCTTGCAGAAAAAGATCAAGTTTTACAACAGAAAATTATGGGGCATAATTTCTATTGTGGCAAGGGACCAGGGCCGTCTCCTGGAGGAAATCTGGAGAGAACATGCCACAGCCAGGCCGGCGTAGAGAGAGGCTCTGGCAGGGGCCCCTCCCAACCCACCCCTGCATGCGTGGGGCTTCTGCTCAGCAACAGGGGCGCAGCTCCACTTTCAAAGTGTGAGGGGCAGGGGCTCAGGTCTCGGATGCCTTCACCACCTGCCTGAGTCGGGCATCGGGCAGGGAGCGTGCGGGGGCCTCTGCCTCTGCTGGCCCAGATGATTCCCTGGCCCTCCTCAAGTGCAGCTCCCATTAAATAGATAGAGCCGGGCTCTGAGCCACGAATTGGGCCAAGCATCCCAAGGGGGTGGAACCGAGTCAGGAGTCAAGACCAGAGGCCAGGAACTGCCCACGCCCATGTTCCTTCCACAGGGCCAGCCTGTCCGGTGGCAACACTAATACCATCCCATGAAGCCTGTGAAAATTAAAGGGAATGGTGCATGTTTAGAGGCCACACACAGCAAGTAACCAATGAACACCCACCCTTCATGCTTGGTTTTCATCACTGGGCCAGCAGGGGCGGAGGCCCCAGCACTCTCCCTGCCTGATGCCCGACTCAGGCAGGTGGGCTTGAGAGCCCCTCCCGGGGCTCCAGGGCTCTGAAGGCATCCAACACCTGGGCCCCTGCCCCTCACATTTTGGAAGTGGAGCTGTGCCCGTGCTGCTGAGCGAAAGCCCCATCCAGCTCTCCGAGAACCAGACGAGGGGCAAGGGAGATGAAGTCTTCCTGGAAACTTGGACTCCAGCTGGTGTGGGGGTCAGAGCAGCAGGCTGAGCCTTCAGGGGGCCTCCGGCAGGCTCCCAAGGCTGCGCTGTGCGTCTCTTCCACCACACGCACTGGGGCATGAGGCCAAGGGCATCGTCTGCAGAGCGAGAGGGAAACTGGGGTGGCAGGGCTTGCGGGCGCAGGACAGCGCCAAGGGGCTTTCGTCTCCCAGCATTAGGACGACCTTGTCCTCTGCCCCTGTCTGGGGGCCGCTGGGTCCCTCCTCACAGGAGCGAGGCAGGCAGCTCTGGTGCAGGGCCGGCCAACAGGCCTCAGATCTGGAGTCACAGACCCAAGGACGAGGACAAGGGCCCCACACACCTCCAAGCAGGCCCTGAGGTACTGACGGGCAGGCAGGACCCTCTGTGACCCTTCCTCACTCCTCACCCAGAGAAGCCAGGAGAGCGGGATGCCGAGGGACTGGAACAGAGAAGGCCTCTTGCAGGGGCTCATGGACAGGAAAACAGAGGAGCCTGCCAGGGCCATGGCCACTGGCAGGACAAGTGCCCACTGGAGCCAAGGCCTGGGCAGGGGAGAGGTCTGCAGAGCAGAGCCCGGCCCTGGGTTCCCACAGAGGCGGCTCGCACAGTGGCTGATTTGCCACTCGTTCACTCAGTTTAGTGAGCAGCACGTGAAATGCTAAATCCGTGTGGGCTCAGGAGCAGCCTCAGATGAGGAGAATCCCACAGTTCGTCGGTGAAGCCCCCACCCCAAATCTCCCACAGTCCTGCTCATGCCCAGGGCGGCAGGTGTCCTTTCTAATGGGTGAGAGCCAGGAGCTGGGGGCTGCGTGCGCTGTGGCCCCTCACCCATGGGGGCCTTCCAGGACCCCAGCAGATGCCTGAAACCGGGGAGTGCCCGACCCTGGAGAGTGTCTTTTCCTATACACACATATCCACCTGTGTGGGTGCGTAGCTGAGTGTGTATGTACACCTGTGTGTGAAAATATCTGTGTTTGCATTGGTGTGTGTGTCCATGAGTTTCTGTGTCTGTGTGGGTGTGTGTGCCCATGAGTGTGAGTGTGTGAATGTGTGTGGGTGTGTAGGTGAGTGTGGATGTGTGTGTGCGAGTGTGAATGTGTGCCCCGTGGGTGTATAGGAGAGTGTGTCTGTGTGCGTGTGCAAATATGTCTGTGTTTGTACTGATGTAAGTGTCCATGAGTGTGTGAGTGCTTCTGTGTAGGTGTGTGGTGTGAATGCATGTCTGTGTGTGCCTGTGTGTGTGTGTGTCCATGAGTGTGTGAATGTGTACCTGTGTCAGTGTGTGAGTGTGTCAATATGGGTGGGTGTGTCCTCCGTGAGTGTGTGCGTGAGTGAATGGTGTCTGTGTGCAGGTCCTCACCATGGGCCGTGTCTCGAGCACATGTGCCCCTGCCTCGGTGGACCGCACGGCCGGCTGGGAGACACAGCCCAGGTGCAGGGCACTCCACCTTTCAGGGCAGGCCTTGCTCGCAGCAGGTTTTCTCCCAAATCTTTGTCTCTCATCTTATCTGGGCGGAAGGTTTTACCAATGAGAAGCAGAAAGGCATTCTTTTCCTCCTTGCTGCCTGCTGACAAGAGGCAGCCAGCCGACCACTTGAAAGGGAGCCGGTACAGTTAGGCTGGGAGGGAAACTTGGATCACAGCCTGGAGATGGTGCGGTGTCCAGCCACTCTGCCGGGAGCTGGGCACTGTGTCTGACACACCGTTGCTGCTGGCCACTTCTAGTATTATTATTTCTGCTCTTTCCTTTCCTTCATCATATGCTCCTGGAAGGGGCTCAGAGGTGTCCCCACCTTGCCTGTCCTGGAAAGTTGTCTCAGAAGGCCCTGTCCCGGTGGAAAGTGCTGGTGGCTCTGGGTGTCTGGGCCTGAATGGTGGGGTGTGGTCCGCTTGGCTCTGAGCAGAGCGCCTCCATGACAACGCCACAGTGTGCAGGGAAATGGGGGTGGGTGTGGGGGAAGCTGGGGGGTACCCCCACTCCTACTACCTTGAGCTCAGACCACCCTCTGCAACTTCCCTGGGGACCCCCACGGCCACGGGCCCTGGTCCAGTGGTGGGCTCTGCTCAGCCCAAGGGCTTTTGGATTAGAGTGTTACCAGCTTCCTGAGCCCATCCCCACCGCCTGACCTCGGCCTTGGCCTCCTGAACTCATTCTCAGCCTCCTGAGCTCGTCCTCAGCCCCCTGAGCCCATCCTCATCCTCCTGAGCTCCTCCCCAGCCTCCTGAGCTCCTCCTCAGCCCCCTGAGCCTGTCCCCGGCTTCCTGAGCTCCTCCCCAGCATCCAGAGCCTGTCCCCAGGCCCTGAGCCCATCCTCAATCTCCTGAGCTCTTCTTCAGCCTCCTGAGCGGGTCCTCAGCCTCCTGAGCGAGTCCTCAGCCTCCCAAGCCTGTCCTCGGCCTTCTGAGCTCCTCCCTGCCCTCCTGACCTTGTTCCTGGCCTCCTAAGTTCATCTTAGCTCAAGGAGAAGGTCTTGGCTCCTCCTGCCTCCAGCAGCCCCTGGACTAGATGCCTAGTTTATCAGCAACCCAGATCTGAGCCTCCTATCTCAGACCCTGGACCATGGAGCTGTGGGCACCAGGGAAAGCTCTGGGGCCTGCTTGGCTTAGATAGGACCATCGGCCCCAGTGCTGAGCCTGGCTTAGGGCCACCCAGGGACGTGTGCTCTTCATCACTTCCTTCAAGCCAGTATCGCAGTGTCAGGAAGACCCGCTCTGTCCTGGTCACAGCGGTTCCCTCCTGCAGGACCCTCAGAGCCACAGGGCAGCAGAGAGACCTGAGCAGATGGTCCTGGTTCCACGGGGCTCCCCTATGTCACCCTGGACCCAGTAATTAGACTCTTCGGGTAGAAAGCTCCAAGGATCAGTGAGGTCTTGGGGGGTAAAGAGGCGCACACAATGATTGCTTTATCTCCCTCAAATATGCAGAAAATGAACTCCATCAGCACACACGGGCCGCAGGGCTTTGTGGGTCCCCAGGGCCCCCTCTGAATTACACTTTTGTTTTCCTGTGGGAGCAGCTTGTGCTCATTAGGGGAAGGCCAGGTGCCCGTTCATCTGGTCAGCCCCCATGCAGCCTGTTGGAGCAATGGGCAGGTGGCCAGGAGTTTGCCCCACATGTTTCTTTCTGAGTCTTTTGTCCAGCTGAGAACTTTCTACTTGATCTGTGCAGGATATCTGAGCAAGGCTGACCACTGCCCAGGCCCTGCATCTGGGCCCACAGAGGCCCCGAGCTCCACCCGTGGTGTCCCTTTTAGCTTAAAGCTGTGATCCCTCCCCTCTGCCATTGCTGGCAGATTTCCAGCCAAGGCCCAGACAAATTTCTATCAGGGGGTTTGAATGGGGTGTGCCTGGAGCAGAGTTTTGAGCAGGACCTGAGGAAGAACAGGGTCCCCCACAACACGGGTGCTGGGAGATGCTTCCTCTAGGCTGCATCCTGATGGGGCCCCACTGGGGATGCTCCAGCCAGCGGGCACTTCAAAAGGTCCCTCCGCTGCTCTGCTGAGGACAGTGATGATTCCTCAGCGTGACCACTCAGGTCCTTCCTTTTCCCCAGTGCCCAGAGCCATGTGCTGCCTGGGGATTCTGCTCTGTTACTTGGGACCCACCAGTGCCCATGGCAAGAGCTGCAGGCTCAGTGCAGCATCGGCCTTGGGACCTCGAGGGAGTGCTCAGCCACCCACCAGGTGACCCACCTGCCCCAGGGCCATCAGGCCACCAATGGTGGGGAGAGAAGGTGACAGAGGATGCAGGTGGCTGTCTGGGCCGTGTCTGCCTGGGGTGTGGAAGATGTCAGGGAACACAGGCCCCAGTCGGATGGAGACTCAGCTCCTAGTTGCTTTCGTGCTGATGGAGTGGTGGCCATGGACGGCACTGACACCCAGAACAGGATGTGTGGCCCGTGCCTGGGGCACACAGACCCCAGCATCTGAGCCCGCCTGTCGCTGGTGGGGGAGAGGGTACCGCAGGTGTCTAACGGGGGCAGAGGGTAGACAACAGCTCCCTCCAGAAGTCACTGCCCATCCAAGTCACGAAGCTTCCCATCAGTCCCCTGCTGCCATTATAACGGGCTTTGCTCAAAACAATGCCTTCGCCCTCTCCCAGCTCTGGAGGTGAGCGGTCTGGAACAGGCCTCACTGGGCTAAAACCAAGGTATCAGCCAGGCCTGGCCTCCTGGAGGCTCCAGCAGCGTCCCCTGTTCCACTCCTAGAGGCCCCCACGTTCAGCCAGTGTTCCTGGACCCTCCAGCGGCTGCCTTCCTAGTCACGTGGGCTCCCCCTGCCGTCAGATCCCTCTCGGGACATGTCATTGCCCCGGCCTCACTCAATACTGCAGGATGCTCTCCCCATCCCCAAGCCCTTAATTTATCCACATCTGCACAGATCCCAAGGATTCTGATGTGGACATCTCCAGGGCCATCAACCTCCTACCACAGCATTCCCTGGCCTCAAGGGCGGACCAGCTCAGCATTGGAAACGCCAGGGTCCGGGCCGGCCTCATGGCCTCCAGGCACCCTCTCCCATCCACTCTCCATCAGGCACCAGGCAAATCTCAATCCCCAAATCCCTCTGGCGCCATGGCCGTAAAGAGAAAACCCAGCCTGGGTGTGGCCCCCACCTCCGCGGCTGCAGCCCTGCCCTCCCCGAAGGCCGCTCCCCCTCCTGCTGCCGAGCCCAGGTCATGGCCTCAGCTCCAGCTTCTCACCGTTCCCAGGTTTTGCAAACTCTCTTGGGCCCTGTGTCTCACCTGCTTCTCCTAATTCTTACGTGGAGTCATGGAGGGTCCCCATATTGGGTTTTAGGGTTCAGAAGCAAACCCAACCCAGCAGGCTCCTCTCCTAGGAAGACCCCATCAGGGACCCCTCCCTTTCCACTGCTCTGTGAGCCTGCAGGGCCCAAGGTGGCCCTGATCTGACAGCATCTCTGTGTGGTAGGGAGGGAGCTGCGGGTGAGCAGCCAGTAGCACTCGTCTCACGCCCTCCCCAAGGCCATGTGTGTCTATGTCCACGTGTGTCTGTAGGTGTGAGCGTGTCTGCACATGTACATCTGGGTGTAGATATGTGTGTGTCCGTGTGTCTGTGTGTGTCTATGTCCCTGTGTGTCTGTCTGCATGTGTATATGCGTGTCTACATATGTGTCTCCATGTCAGTGTGTGTCTCTATGCATATGTACATGTGCTTCTGTGTGCATGTCCATGTGTTTCTATGTGTCTGTCTGCATGTGTCTAAGGCTCACAGGACAGAAGCCACAGCCCCACTTCTGTCAGGGCCATGGGGAGGTCAGTGTTCTGGAAAACACGTCCCCCAGGGGTCTCTGACTCACAGAACCACTTCCTCATGCCCTCTCTGCCCCCACAGTTGGGGAGCACAGGCGCCCACAGCTCAGACCCACAGCTGTGACTCACCCACCTGCTGGTCTCCAGCTGGGCCACTGCCCAGGAAGGGTAGCTGAGGACAGAGAAGGAGCCCACAAGCAGGCAGGGTCCCAGGCAGGGTCTCTCTGGGCCTGCACACAGCCTGCTGACTGGCCCTGGGCAGCCCTTTTCTCACAGGACAGGAGGCCTCCAAAACCCTTTGTGCCCAAGGCCCAAGAGCACTGGGAAAGGCCTGTGAGGCTGGGCGGCCACGCAGGCCTCTCACCCCCGGCCAGTGCTGGCCAACAAGTGAGCCAGATGGCATTTCACTGGGTCTTGATCTCCACATGTCCAAGTCTGCAAACACTGCTTCACATCTGCTTCTCCTGAGGGAGATGCCCCTTCATGTCTCGGGGTCTTTTTCTCATTCTTACTGATTTATAGAAATTCCTTACACATTCCTGAGGCCTACCCTTCGTTAGTTATGTCCCCGGTGAGTATCCTCTCATTTTTAGCTTCTCTTTCATTTTCTTTGAGGTTATTTTTGACCAATAGTTTTTTAAATGTACTCACATTTTATCAGACTCCTATTTTATAGCCAGGGCTTCTTACAATGTATTTAAGAAATCCTTCCCTACAGCCAAGGTCATAAATTGTCCACCTACATTTTCCAGACAAACTTTTAAAGGAAAACTCTTACATAAGTTCTTGCCCCATGTGGGGCTTTGTGTATGTTGGGAAACAGGGATCTTATTTCTTTTTCCATATGGAAAATCATTTTCCCACACCCAGTGATTGCTCTGTTCTTGCGGGAAGGGAAACTCCACAGGAGAACAGGGCAGCAGGGCCCCAAGGAAGGACGAGTGAGGCCCAGCCCAGCTGCCTGCCCCAGGAGTTGTGAAACTCCAGGATGAATTCAGCATGGAACAACTTTAATCCATTCTAATCTGAGGATAAAACTCAGAGAAGTCTTTGCTCCAGGTGAGGGTGCAGTTTGCACAATTAGCTAAATGCTGTCAGTACCAGGCTTTGGGATTTTCTGTTCTCCTTTCAGAGAAAAGGGCAGGGCAGGAAATGCGGGCACCAAACTGAAGTGGGTGTGCACGTGTGTGCTTCGCTATGGGTGTGACTGTATGTGTCTCCATATGTGTGTCTGTGTGGACATTCAAGCATGTGTATGTGTCTTTCTGTGTCTGCATGTGCACACGTGTGTCTACGTGTGTGTGCATGTGTGCCTGTGTATATCTGTATAGCTGTGTGTGCATGTGTGTCTCTGTATGTGTGCCTGTATGTCTATATGCATCTCTGTGTGCACATGCATCTCTATACATGTGTGCCCGTGTGCATGTGCACGTGTGTTCATATGTGTATGTGTGTGCACATGCATGTCTGTATGTGTGTGCGTGTGTTTCTGCATGTACATGTGCACATGCCTTCATATGCATATGTAGCTGTACCTGTGCATGTCCGTGTCTATATGTGCACATACATGCATGTATGTGTGCACGTGTGTCTCTGCATGTGTGTGTATGTGTCTGTGTATAAGTACGTGTCTACATGTCTGTATGTAGGTGCCTGTGTGTACATGAGTGTATGTGTCTCTGGGTGTGTGTGGTACATGAGCAGGTATAGGTTTGTGCATGTGTATGAGTGTCTGCATGTCTGTATGTGTGTGCCTGTGTGTGTGTGTGTATGTGTCTGTGTGTCTGTGGTTGTGTGATGGGCTGACTTGGTGCTGTGAGGATAAAGATGTGCTTCTCCAGGCCCTATGAGGCCCAACCCCCTGAGCATAGGGAGACCTGCCCTCACATTTTGTGTGGAGAACAGCAGGTGAGGGTGGGCACTGGAGTGCAGATGGCGGGAGGGCGGCCTCAGCCTGTGGAGTCTGCAGAGGGGATGGGGGTGTGTGCTCCCAGAGCTGTGCTCTTTTCCTTTTGGAGGCAGATTCCGTATCCTAAGCTGGAGTTCAGTTCTGAGGCTTTGGGTCCAAAACCTCAGTTGTAGGGTCAGGAGCAGGGGCACCAGGTCTGGGGACAGAACGTCGGCAGGTGGCTCCTGTCTCGTGCAGATGTGGTGCCTGCCTCACCCCATTCTCTGCCAGGACCCTGCAGGTTCGGATGCACATCAGGGACTGTGGCTCCCACCTTCCCTGCTCCTAACTCTTCTGTCCTCCCAGGCACGCCCCACCTCCAGCCCTGGGCTCACCCCAACCATCACTTCAGGCAGGAGAGTCCCCATTTGTGGCTACTAGTTCATTCATTCATTCAGAAGGGCCCTGGCCATCAGCCACCCTCAGAGCGGAGTGCAGCTCCACCACTTCGGCCAGGTGACCCTAGTCATGTTCATGAATCTCCCAGCCTCTGATCCCACCTCTCTCAGTGGGGCAACAGCACCCGGTGTGCAGGGTGGCGGCCCAGGGTGGCCGTGGAGTGAGTCACTGGGGAGGGTTCCTGGGTCCTGGGCATCTGAACTGGCTGCACTCGGAAACCCCAGTGCAAATGGGGCAGAGCAACAGTGCGTCTGTGGCAATGGTCCTGGGAGCAACGGTACGTCTGTGGCAACGGTCCTGGGCCCACAGCACGGTCCCAGGCATTCACTGAGTTCTCAATTAAATCAAAACCCCCTTCCACAGAAAGCCCCTCTCCACACTCAGAGGAGGCGGAGAGGCTGGAAGTGTCTCTTAATGAACTGTTTACTGCGAAATGCCTTTCACCTTCCAAGCTGCAGTCTTAGAATTAAACCTGGCATTTGAATGCAATCATGAAGAGAGGGGAGCTCCTCTGTCAGCCAGCAGGACACGATGAAAATCCAATTAAGTTGTGCATGTTAATTCCCCTGCCTGCCTGGGCTCATTGCTGGATGAGGGAGGGGGAGCACGCAGTTTTCTATAGTTTATCTGCACAGCCCAGAGGCAGGTGTTTTACCCGCTGACAATAAAACCCAACAGAGCTGTGACCAAGTGGGTGAAAATAGCAAGTCATTAAAAACGAGCATCTTGAATGCCCATCTTTCAATAACGTAGACGGAAAGTGCTGGAATGAAGAGATTAGGGAATTAATTGTATTGAGGATCCTCTCACTAGCAGACCCCAGGGCAGGAAAAGTGTCTGGCCACCTGCCAGGACCATACAATGGGATTATGTGGGCCCCAAGAGAAGGAACCTGGCTGGACACCCCTGTTGGTTCAGCAAGGAACCAGCCCAGATTTTTGGAACCTGAAAGCACTGAGGTCTTAAATCATGAAACTGGGCTTGAAAGAAAAGCACAAAAATAAGAAAATAAAAGAGAAAGAAAGAAAAGAGAAGGGAAGAAAGCCAGGGCCCTCGTAAGGTTCTTGGTCTTCCGGGGAGAACAGGAAAATCCACCTCGGTTCATTTCTTGGAACTCGATGAGAAAACAGAGGTACTGTCTTCACTTGAATTAATTTTTACATTTAAAATCTGATAGTAAGAAGGAAAGGGTACGTTAGAACTGCAAGAAAATATATGCAGTAACTACAGATTTTATCATCCAGTAACCTGGGACTCTGAGGGCAGGACATGCCTAGGACAGCAGGGTACGAGCACCCTGCAGAGCGGGCTGCCTCCTGAAGGGCCACCCACACCAGGCACGGCGGGGGTGGTCAGGATCCTGTGCCCTCACTCCTTCTCATTCCCTGGGAACTGGCAGGAACATCGCTGCTCTGGGCCAGTGCTGGCCTGGCTCCTCACGAACGCAACACTGCCAGCTCTGCGCCCCTCAGACTGCTGGAAGCATCCCGTAGATCAGAGGATTCTGATCCCTGCCTCCAGGGATGGGGTGTCCACGGCACGTCTCCAGGTATGAACACACACAATTTGGCATGAACACATGCCTTTGGCGTTCTCTGGGACTAGACTGGGCAGATTAACAAGGTACCTTTAAACAGGGGTGCCCAACCCCAAGTGTGGACAGGTACTGGTCCGTGGCCTGTCAGGAACTGGGCCGCACAGCCTCCCGTCGGATCGGCGGCGGCATTCGATCTCATAGGAGCATGAACCCTGTCGTGAGCTGTGCGTGTGAGAGGGATCCAGGTTGCGTGCTCCTTATGAGAATCTAACTAATGCCTGAGCATACGAGGTGGAACAGTTTCATCCCAAAACCATCCCCCCAACCCCACCCTCATCCCACAGTACGTGGGAAAATTGTCTCCCATGAAACTGGTACCAAAATGGTTGGGGACGGCTGCCTTAAAACACAAGGTTGATTTATAGTAAAGGAGCAACAGGCACCGAAATTCACACTCAGGAGAGGAGCCGTGCGAGCTAAAGGAACACAGTCCGTTCCCGTCCTGCAGGAAGCCATCAGCGCTTCTCAAACGTGACGCGGTTCTCACCTAGTCCAGCGGCTATTTCTCCTCCCACTTTCCTGGAGGAACACCGCTGCTAGGCCCTAGGTTTCTGACAGCTCAGCCACTTAAAAGTAGGAAATCCAGCTGCCTAGGACCCATCTTGGTCTGTCCTTCACTCAGTGTGACCTGGAGATTCCTTCGCCTTGTTATGTGAATGTTACGATCTCACACCCAGAATGCAGCAAACATGAAAACCTGTCATTATGAATGTGGATTCCTCCACAGAATAGACGCCTAAATCATGGTATACGGTCTAATTAAATGGAATATTAAAATGAATGAGCTAGAATTTATAAATCAACATAGATAATCTAAGAACAAATTAAATACAGGGACACCAGCAAGATGGAGAACTAGGAAGCCCCAGGGAGTCCTCGTTCCCCCACCGAGACACTGGTTAGCAATAATCTATGGACAGAACAGCCAGTGTGAGAACCCCAGAATCCGATTAGGAGGTTGCAGCACCCCCTGTGAGTGCAAAGCCCAGAAGGGCCACATCTGAGCAGATAAGAAAAAAAGTCACAGCATTTTGTGCCCTGGTGCCTACTGCTCCCTGGCATGATAGGAGCCCTCAATGCCCTCAATGCTTGGCTGCTCTCTAGAGAGGGAGAGTGAAGAGTGGAACATGCATCCAATGTTCTCGCTTTTCAGGGGGCTGCCCATGGGACTGGTATCTGCCTCACCTGACTCAGAGCACTGAGGGAAACTTGCAGAGCTTGAATGTCAGGTAAGGGGCTGCTGAGAGCAAAGACGAGCATCTTCGCTCAGCACAAAGGATCCTGCGGAGCCACAGACACCAGAGGACAGAGGCCTCCTGAAAAACATGGGCAAAACTCTAACTGGGAAACTACTTACACAAGCCCAAAGAAGATGCATCCCCAGAAAAGGCTGAGAAGTTCCAGAATCTCTACCTGGGCTGATTAGTGAAAGTACAAAGCAAGTTAACAAAGACTGCGGGAAGCACAATGTATTTGAAATGCCCAAATATCAATACAAGGTCACAAGGCATACAAAGAAACAGGAAACCAAGGCCCAGTCAAAGGAACAAAATATATCTCAGGAAATGACCGTAAAGACACAGAGATGAATTAACTGATCATTCAAGGTAACCTTCTTAAAGATGCCCAGTGAGCTAAACAAGAACAGAGACAACTGAACGAATTCAGAATACGACTTATGAACAAAATGAGATAACAACAGAGATAGAAATTATAAAAACTGAACAAAACAGAAATTCGGAAACTGAAGAATAACTGAATTTTAAGATCAATAGAGGAGTTCAACAGCAGACTTGATCATGGAGAAAGAACCATCAAATTTGAAGAAAAATTATCTGAAATTATTGAGTGAGAGGAGGGAAAAAAAGCATAAAGAAAGTAATGAGAGCCTGTGAGACTTACGGGAAAACATCAGGCAGAACAATGGAGGTTTTTTACCCCAGAGACGCTGTGGGTTTGATCCCAGGCCACTGCCATAATGTGAATACCACAGCAAGGTGAGTCACAAAATATTTTGGTTTCCCGGCGCATATAAAAGTAATGATTATACTATACTGTAGCCTGTTAATTGTGCAATAGCATTATGTATAAAAAAGTATATACCTTAATGAAAATACTTTCTTTGGCTAAAAATGCTAATGATCATCTAAGCCTTCAACAAGTCATAATTTTTTCATGATGGGGGCTCTTACCTCAGTGTTGATGTCTGCTAACTGATCAGCGTGGCAGTTGCTGAAGACTGGGGTAACCGTGACAATTTCTTAAGACAACAATGAATTTTGCTCTTCAATGGACTCTTTCCTTCACAAAAGACTTATCTGCGGTATGTAATGTCGTTTCACAGCATTTTACTCACAGTAGAACCTCTTTCAAATTTGGAGCCAGTCCTCTCAAACCCTGCTGCTGCTTTATGTAATATTCTGAATACCTTGTTGTCACTTCAAGAATGTTTGTCTCTACCAGGAGTAGATTCCATCTCAAAAAACAACTTTCTTTGCTCATTCGTAAGGAGAAACTCCTCATTCATTAAAGTTTTACCCTGAGATTGCAGCAATTCAGCCACATCGTCAGGCTCCTCTTCTCATTCCAGTTGTCTCACCGTTTCCACCATCTGCAGTTCCTGCCTCCATTAAAGTCTTGAACCACTCAGAGTCACCTGTGAGGGCTGGGATTAAATCCCTGCAGACTCCTGTTCATGTTGATATTTTGCCTCCTCCCATGAAACAGGAACGTTCTTAATGGCATGTAGAGTGGTGAACTACTTCCAGAAGGCATTCCATTCGCTTTGTTCGGATCCAGCAGAGCAATCACTATCTACGGCAGCTATAGCCTTAAGAAATGTATTTCTTTCTTTTTTTTTGAGACGGAGTCTTGCTCTGTCACCCAGGCTGGAGTGCAGTGGAGCAATCTCCACTCACTGCAAGCTCTGCCTCCTGGGTTCACGCCATTCTCCTGCCTCAGCCTCCCGAGTAGCTGGGACTACAGGCGCCCGCCATCACGCCCGGCTAATATTTTGTATTTTTAGTAGAGACGGGGTTTCACCGTGTGAGCCAGGATGGTCTCGATCTCCTGACCTCGTGATCCACCCGCCTCGGCCTCCCAAAGTGCTGGGATTACAGGCGTGAGCCACTGTGCCCAGCCAGAAATGTACTTCTTAAATAATAAGATGAAAGTCAAAATTACTCCTTGATCTATGGGCTGCAAATGGATATTGTGTTAGCAGGCATGAAAACAATATTAATTTAGTACATCTTCATCAGAGCTCTTGGGTGACCAGCTGCATTATAAATAACCAGTAATATTTTGAAAGACATTTTTTTCCTGTGCATAGTTCTCAACAGGGGGCTTAAAATATTCAGTAAACCGTGCTATAACAAATGTGCTGTCATCAAAGCTTTATGTGCCATTTATAGAGTGCAAACAGAGTAGATGCGGCATAATTCTTAAGGGCCTTAGAATGTTCAATATGGTAAATAAGCATTGGCTTCGACTTAAAATCACCAACTGCGTTAGTAATTAACAAGACAGTCAGTCTGTCCTTTGCAGAATTGATGCCAGGTATTAACGTCTCCTCTTCAGCTCTAAAAGTTCGAGATGGCATCTTATTTCAATAGAATGCTGTTTCATCTACATTGCAAATCTGTTGTTTAGTGTAGCCGCCTTCATCAAGCAGCTCAGCTAGATCTTCCGGAGAACTTGCTGAAGCCTCTACATTAGCATTTGCTGCTTCACCTTGTGCTTTTATGTTATGGAAATGGCTTCTTTTCTTAAGCATCATGAACAGCTAACTTCAAACTTTTCTCCTGTGGTTTCCTTACCTCTCTCAGCCTTCACAGAATTGAAGAGCGTTAAGACCTTGCTCTGGATTGGGCTTTGGCTTAATGGAATATTGTGGTTGATTAGATCTTCTACACAGACCACTACAACTATCTTCGTATCAGCAACAAGGCTGTTTTACTTTCTTATTTATGTGTCCACTAGAAGAGCACTTTTAATTTTCTTAAATAACTTTTCCTTTGCATTTATAACATGGCTAACTACTTGGAGCAAGAGGCCTAGCTTTCAGCCTATCTTGGTTATTGACACACCTTCCTCACTAAGCTCACTAACGTCACTTCCAGCTTTTGACCTAAAGTGAGAGATGTGTGACTCTTGCTTTCACTTGAACACTTAGGTCATTGTAGGGCTATTAACCTAATTTCAATATTATTGTGTCTCAGGTAATAGGGAGGCTCAAGGAGAGGGAGAAAGGTGAAGGAATGGCCAGCTGGTGGAGCAGTCAGAACATACATAACATTTATCGATTCAGTTCACCATCTGATATGGTATGGGCAAGGCGCATGGCACTCCAAAACAATTGTAATAGTAACATTAAAGATCACCAATCACAGGTCACTATAACATATATAACAATAAAGAAAATTAAAATTATTATTATAAATTGTACTAAAATGTGACACAGAGACAAGAAGTGAGCACATGCTGTTGGAAAAATGGCACTGGTGGACTTGCTGGATGCAGAGTTGCCGCAGACTTTCCATTTGCAAAACAAAAACACAATGTCAGTTGTGCACGGTGGCTCATGCCTGTAATCCCAGCACTTTGGGAGGCCGAGGCAGGCAGATTGTGTGAGTCCGGGAGTTTGAGACCGGCCTGGGCAACATGGCAAAACACTGTCTCTACAAAAAATAAAAAAAAATCAGCCAAGCGTGGTGGTGCACACCTGCAGTCCCAGCTACTTGGGAGGCTGAGGTGGGAGGATTTCCGGAGCCTGGTAGGTGGAGGTTACAGTGAGCCAAGATCATGCCACTGCACGCCAGCCTGGGAGACAGAGCAAGACCTCATCTCAAAAAAACAAACAAACAAAAAAACCCACAATGTCTGTGAAGTGCAATAAAGCAAAGCACAATAATAAAAGATATGCCTGTGCACACATTATGGGAGTTCCAGAATAGAGAGAGAAAGAGGTGAAGGCCTATTTGAAGAAATCATGGCTGAAAACTTCCCAAATTTGAGCAAAAGAATGGACATAAGAGTTCAAGAAATTCAACTAGAATAAATCCAAAGAGACCCATTATCATCAAACTGTCAGAAGTCAAAGACAAAATAAGAATCTTGAAAACAGCAAGAGAAAAGCAACTCATCAGTGCAAGGGAGCTCCCATAAGATTATAAGTGGGTTTCTGAGCAGAAACTTTGTAGGCCAGAAGGGAGTAGAATGATATATTCAAAGTGCTATCAGAGTAAAAACAGTCAGCCAAGAACACTATATCCAGCAAAATTATCCTTCAAAAATCATCCCAAATAAACAAAAGCTGAGAGAATTCAACACCACGAGATATTTCCTACAAGAAATGCTAAAAGGAGTTCTTCGAGTTGAAATAAAAGGACACTAGACAGCAATCCCAAACTACATGAAAATATGAAACTCTCTAGAAAAGGTAAATATATAGACAAATGTAGAATCCTGTACTATCATAATGTTAGTATATAAATCACTTTTAATTCTTGTATAGAATTTAAAAGATGAAAACATTTAAAAATAATCATAGAACTCTGTTAATGGTTACACAATATAAAAGAGATAATTTGCGACGTCAATAGCCAAGTGTAGGGGAGTGAAGGTGTAAAAGAGTACAGTTTTTGAGTGCAATTGAGGTTAAACTGCTATCAGTTTAAAATGGATCATTATAACTTTAAGATATTTTATGTAATCCCAAGGTGAATATAAAGAAAATATTTATAGAAGACATACAAAAGGAAATAAGAAATCAAAGCATGTCACTATAATTTTTTTTTTTTTTTGAGACAGAGTCTTGCTCTGTCACCCAGGCTGGAGCGCAGTGGTGCAATCTCGGCTCACTGCAACCTCTGCTTCCCAGGTTCAAGTGATTCTCCTGCCTCAGCCTCCTGAGTAGCTGGGATTACAGGTGTGCACCACCATGCCCGGCTAATTTTTGTATTTTTAGTAGAGATGGGTTTTCACCATGTTGGTCAGGCTGGTCTCAAACTCCTGACCTCGTGATCTGCCTGCCTCAGCCTCCCAAAGTGCTGGGATTACAGGTGTGAGCCACCACACCTGGCCTATAAAAAATTTTGAAAGTACAAAGGAAAGGAGTAAGGAGGAAAAATGGAGACAAAATAGCCATAAAACATACAGTAAACAATTAACAAATTGGCAGTAGTAAGTCTTCCTTACCAGTAATTTCTTCAAATGTAAATTAATTAAACTCCCTAATCAAAAGACAGATTGAGTTGATTAAAAATGAAAAGAAAAAAAAAAAGAAGATCCAACTATATGCTGTCTACAAGAAATAAACAGGAACACAACAATGGTAAGAGACCTCAATACTCGCCTTTCAACAATGGATAGAAGAAACAGATAGAAGACCAGTAAGGAAGCAAAGGACTTGAACAGCACTATAGACCAATTGGACCTAACGGACGTATATAGAACACTCTACACAACAACAGCAGAATATATAATACATTCTTCCCAAGGGCACGTGGAATATCTTCCAAGAGAGACCATATGATCGGCCACGAAACAAGTCTTAACAAATGTAAGAGTTTGAAATTATAGAAAATATATGTTCTGATCACAAAGGAATGAAACTAGAAATCAACAGCAGAAGGAAAACGGGAAACTTCACAATTAGTGAATATTTAAAAACAGACTCTTAAGAAACCAAAGGATCAAGGAAGATACCACAGGGAAAAATAGAGAATATCTCAAGACAAATGAAAACAAAAACGCAACATACCAAAACTTATAGGATGCAATGAGAGCAGTATTAAGAGGGAAATTCATAGAGGTGAAAACTTACATTTAAAAAGAAGATGGATCTCAAATAAACAACCTAACTTTACATCTCAAGGAACTAGAAAAAGAAGAACAAGTTAAACATGAATTAGCAGAAAGAAGGAAATGGTAATGATTAGAACAGAGATAAACACAATAATAGAAAACAATAGAAAAATCAACAAACTGAAGAGCTGGATTTTTGAAAAGATCAACAAAATTAACAGAAACTCTTAGCTAGATTAGCTAAGAAAAAAAGAGGGAAGACTCAATTAAATCAGAAATGAAAGAGGCCCCTTACAACTGATGCCACATAAATAAAAAATATTGTAAGAGAATGTCATGAACAATGGCTATATACCAACAAATTGGGTAATCTGGAAGAAATTGAAAAATTCCTAGAAATATACAACCTACCAAGATTGAATCATGAACAAATAATTATCTGAAAAGACCTATAACTAGTAAAAGATTGAATTAGTCATCAAAAATCTCCCAAAAAAGAAAAGCCCAGGACCAGATGGCTTTACCGGAGAATTCTACCAAGGATTTAAATAATTAACAGCAATCCTCCTCACATTCTTCTGAAAAGCTAAACAAGAGGAACACTTCCAACCTCAATGTATAAGGCCAGCATTATCCTGATACCAAGCCCAGACAAGAAAGCTACAGGAAAAGAAAACTACAGACCGATTTTCCCGATAACTGCTGATGCCAAATCCCCAACAAAATACTAGCAAACTGTATTCCGTAGCACATTAAAGGATTATACTCCCTGACCAAGTGGGATTTACTCCTGGAATGGAAGGATGGCTCAAAATATGAACATCAATCAAGATAATCTGCCACACTGTCATAATGAAGGACAAAAACTACACGACTGTCTCAATTGATAGAGAAAAAGGACTTGAGAAAATCCAACACCCTGTTATGAGAAAAACTGTAACTCTGCATGGTTGCGTCCTGTTTGCACCCTGAAGTTCTCCAGACCTACTTTCCCAAAGGACCCAACAGATTCAAGCCTCATCTGCAGGAGAATCGAGTCTCTTCCATCTCCGCGGGCCTGGGCAGGTCTGTTTCCTCTCTGGGTCTGCCATTCCCTTCTGACCAGGGATAGAGATCAGCCTGGAAAGCTGTAAGCTGCACCTGCCTGAGGAACCTAGGTGTGCCCTTTCCCTGTGACCCTTCCCTGAGGGTGTTCCAAAGGCACATGGCAAGGCTGCTTCACCCCAGTCATTCACGGGACCCTGGGCCCTAGGAAGCCAGCTCCAGGCCTCTCCCTAGCATCACTGATCCAACAGGCTTGAACACACACCCTCCTTAACTTCCCTCCTTTCTCTGCATTGGAAACTAGGGGAGAGTTATTTGCCTAATTATGCACGTTGTTTAGTGCCTTTGAGCATCAACATTTAGTGTTATGCTCCTGAGAGGCCAAGTGCTTTACAGCATTTTCTTCAGTATTATATTCCATGTTAATTGCAAGCAGGCCTATTAAAGGCAGGGCTGACTTCACAAACAGCCAGCAAAAGCACAGAGGGGCCGCACTTGCAGGCAGCAGGCCTCAGGCTCATTAAGGAGACCCAGAAAGCTGAGGACTCCTTGCCCTTGAAAGGCCCTGTGTACAGCCAGCATGCCGGAAAGAGCCTCGGAGCTCCGTGGATTTCAAGGCAAAAGGGAGCCAAACATGCACGGATGCCTCTTTCCTGTGCCTGGGGGTTTGTTTCTTCAGGAAATTCCAAATGGGTCTCATTCCCTGGAATTTCAATTGCACCATTGCTTAGTCACTCAACAGTCATCTGTCACTCACCAAAGCCACAGAGTGGGGCCTGAGGGTCACTGGTGTCATGGATACACTTGCTGATTTGTGACCCAAGTCAGGTCTGGATTACAAAGGGCTTTGAATGAATGACTGAGGTTTTGAGGCCAGATGATAGAGAAAGGCAGCCATGGGGGATTTTGGAGAGAGGCCAGGGTGAGCGGTGGGAAGACCAGGCAGGAGAGTCCAAGGGCATCCGTGGAAGCGCACCTGGGGTGGAGAGGACTCGTGGTCCAGATGAGGCACCACTGAGCCGCGTTGGGAGAAGCCTGCAGATGGGAGGTCACTTGGCTGTGAGCAGATCCACGCCTGGGAGGTGGCAGAAGCCAGATGGGATACCATAAAAATCCACATTTAATTTTTCCACTGGTGTGTGCGCTTCTGGAACTCCCCACACAGCAGCCCACACAGCAGCTTAGGAGTGGGTCCATATTCCGACTACTTCATCTCTGGTGTAATCATGACACTCTCTGGCTACCCCAGGAGGGCATGCACCAACATGGCGCTGGGCATAAATTTGAGACTGAGCTGCCTTAGGTTCGAGTCCAGCTCTGAGCCAGCCAGCTGTCCTCAGCAGTGCTCTGGACCCCTCTGCCCTTCAGTTCCTCATTTATAAGGTGGGAGTAATGGAAGCATATCTGAAGCGTGAAGCCGGGGCCTTGTCTGCTCTGAGCTCCCTCAGGATGTTCCAGGCATGTAATGGGGAGAGCAGAGGCTGAGACCTGAGAGCCAATCACATGTTTCCCATCAAGAAGTTTCGACACAGATTCTAAGTCTGAGGAAAAAGGCAAGACTACGGTTCAGCAACAAACTGGGGACTTCAATAACACACTTTCGTTATGAGTAGAACAAGTAGGCAAAAGATCAACAAAGAAATGTCAGATTGGATCAGTTGGCCGGCATCTGCAGAGCATGAGAGCACGCCACCAGCAACCACAGAGCACGCCACCCCGCAACCGCAGAGCACTCCACCCAGCAACCGCATCCGCAGAGCACTCCACCCAGCAACCGCAGAGCACTCCACCCAGCAACTGCATCCGCAGAGCACTCCACCCAGCAACCACAGAGCAGTCCACCCAGCAACCGCATCTGCAGAGCACTCCACCCAGCAACCGCAGAGCACTCCACCCAGCAACCGCATCTGCAGAGCACTCCACCCAGCAACCGCAGAGCACTCCACCCAGCAACCACAGAGCAGTCCATCCAGCAACCGCATCTGCAGAGCACTCCACCCAGCAACCGCAGAGCACTCCACCCAGCAACCGCAGAGCACTCCACCCAGCAACCGCATCCGCAGAGCACTCCACCCAGCAACCGCATCCGCAGAGCACTCCACCCAGCAACCGCATCCGCAGAGCACTCCACCCAGCAACCGCATCCGCAGAGCACTCCACCCAGCAACCGCAGAGCACTCCACCCAGCAACCGCAGAGCACTCCACCCAGCAACCGCATCCGCAGAGCACTCCACCCAGCAACCGCATCCGCAGAGCACTCCACCCAGCAACCGCATCCGCAGAGCACTCCACCCAGCAACCGCATCCGCAGAGCACTCCACCCAGCAACCGCATCCGCAGAGCACTCCACCCAGCAACCGCATCCGCAGAGCACTCCACCCAGCAACCGCATCCGCAGAGCACTCCACCCAGCAACCGCATCCGCAGAGCACTCCACCCAGCAACCGCATCCGCAGAGCACTCCACCCAGCAACCGCATCCGCAGAGCACTCCACCCAGCAACCGCATCCGCAGAGCACTCCACCCAGCAACCGCATCCGCAGAGCACTCCACCCAGCAACCGCATCCGCAGAGCACTCCACCCAGCAACCGCATCCGCAGAGCACTCCACCCAGCAACCGCATCCGCAGAGCACTCCACCCAGCAACCGCATCCGCAGAGCACTCCACCCAGCAACCGCATCCGCAGAGCACTCCACCCAGCAACCGCATCCGCAGAGCACTCCACCCAGCAACCGCATCCGCAGAGCACTCCACCCAGCAACCGCATCCGCAGAGCACTCCACCCAGCAACCGCATCCGCAGAGCACTCCACCCAGCAACCGCATCCGCAGAGCACTCCACCCAGCAACCGCAGAGCACTCCACCCAGCAACCGCATCTGCAGAACACTCCACCCAGCAACCACATCCGCAGAGCACTCCACCCAGCAACCGCAGAGCACACACACTTCTCAAGTGTGCTGGAGCTTGCTCCAGGAAGAACCACATGTTGGGCCACAGAGAAAGTCTCAATAAATTTCAAAGGACTGAAATCATACAAAGTGGGCTCCATAACCACAATGGAATTAAGTTAGAAATCAATAACAGAAGGAAATTTGAGAAATTCACCAAAATGTGTAAAATAAACAACACACTGTTATATAACCAACAGATCAAAGAAGAAATCACAACGGAAATTAGAAAATACTTTGAGATGAAAGGCATTACAAGAAAACCACAGACCAATATCCTTAAGAATATAAATGCAAAAATCCTCCACAAAATACTAGCAAATCAAATCCAGCAACATATAAAAAGAATTATGTGCAAAACCAGATGAGATTTATCCCAGGAACACAAGGTTGATTTGATATCCAAAAGCCAATCAATGTAATACAGCATATTAATGGATTCATACAAAACCACTCTTAGAAGAAAACATAGGAGGAAATCCTTATGGCCTGAGTTTGGCAATGATTTCTTCAATATGGCACCAAAAGCACAAGTGATAAAAGAAAAGAGAGATAAATGACACTTCACTAAAATTAAAAACTTCTGTGCTACAACCAATGCCATTAAGAAAGTGCAAAGATAACCCACATAAAAGGAGAAAATATTAGGAAATCTTCTAGAGTAATCCCCTCTTATCTGCAGGCAATACATCTCAAGGCCCCCAGTAGATGGCTGAGACCACAGAGATTACCAAACACTGTATATACTGTTTTTTCCCATATATGTATACCTGTGATAAAGTTTAATTTATAAATTAGGCACAGGAAGAGATTATCAAGGATAACTATAATAAAATTGAACAATGATAAAAATATGCCGTAATAAGACTTATGTGAATGTGACCTCTCTATCGCTCTCTCTCTCAATACCTTAATGTACTGTACTCACCCCTCTAAATACCTTATTGTACTGTTCTCACCCCTCTTTGTTGTCATCATGTGAGATGACGGAATTGCCTCCGGGAGGAGGTGAGGTGAGGTGAGGTGAATCACGCAGGCATTGTGACATTGTCTTAGGATGCTGTTGACCTTCCGATGAATGATCGGAAGGAGGATCACCAAGCCATGATGAGCAATGGCTGGATGTCAGGAGCAGACAGTGTAACGACTAAGGAAGGAGCAGTCTATACAGTGTGGATACAGTGGACAAAGGGATGGTTCACAGCTGGGAGGGATAGCTTGGGCTGGAGCAAGGTCTCACTGTGCTACTCAGAACAATGCACAGTTCCATGTCGTATTTTCAAGCCATGGCTGACCACAGGTAACTGAAACTGTGGAAACCAGGACACCAGGTAAATGGGACCTGCTGTATCTGATAAGGGACTCATATCCAGAATATGTAAGGAACACTTAAAACTCAAATAAAATAAGGGTTATTAACCCCATTTTAAAATGGGCAAAGGATTTGAATAGGCACTTCTCAAAAGAAGATGTACGAATGGCCAGTAAGTGCAAGAAAAGATGCTCAACATCATTAGTTATTAGGAAGAAGCAAATCAAGACCACAGGGCGATGCTACCTCATACACTAGGAGGGTGATCCTCAAAAAGACAGAAAATAGTCTTGACAAGGACTTAAGAAACAGGAACCTTCTTTGGGAAAGAAAATAGTGCAGACAAAAACAATGAAAAGGCGCTGAAAATGAGTTCAACATAGAGTGACCACATGGCCCAGCAATCCCCCCCTAGGTGTGCGTCCCAGATAATTAAAACCATACATCCAGCCAGGCTAAGGGGCTCATGCCTGTAATCCCAGCACTTTTGGAGGCCGAGGCAGGCAGATCACGAGGTCAGGAGTTCGAGACCAGCCTGACCAACATGAAGAAACCCCATCTCTACTAAAAATACTAAATTATCTGGGCGTGATGGCACATGCCTGCAGTCCCAGCTACTCGGGAGGCTGAGGCAGAAGAATCGCTTGAACCCAGGAGGCAGGGGTTGCAGTGAGCCGAAATCGCACCACTGCATTCCAGCCTGGGCGACAGAGCGAGACTGTCTCAAAACAAACAAACAAACAACAAAAAAGTACATCCAAATAAAAACTTGAACACAAACGTTTGTAGCAGCACCACTCATAAAGCCAAACAATGGAAACAGCCCCGATACACGTGACTGGCGAATGGCTACAGAAGATGTGGTGTATCCGTACAACAGGATGTTATTTGGCCATGAAAAAGAATGAAGTACTTATAAAAAAAAAGAAAAAGAAAAAAGAAATGAAGTGCTGACACAGGCTACAAGGTGGATGAGCCTGAAAACATTATGCGAAGTGAAAGAAGCCAGTCGCAAAAGACCACGCACTATATGTTTACATTTTGAGAAACGTGCAGAACCCATAGATACAGAAAGAGGATTTGTGGTTCTTTAGGGCTGGGGGTGGGGGCAGGGCTGGTGGCTGAGAGTAGCTAAAGGGTGTGGAGTTTCTTTTTGAGGTGGTGAAAATTTTCTAAAATTGACTGTAGTAATGGCTGTAGAACTCTGTGAATATACTGAAAACCATTGTACACTTTAAATGGGTGAATTGCATGGTATGTGAATTATAACCCAGTAAAGCTGTTTAAAAAATAGTGGGGGGCGGGTGGAGGGAATGAAGAGAAGGTGGTTAATGGGTACGAATAAACGGTTTGGTAGGAGGGGTGAGTTCTAGTGTTGATAACACAGTGAGGGGATTATAGTTAACAACAACATACTGTATATTTTGAAATAGCGAGAAGAAAAGATTTGAAATGTTCCCAACATGAAGAAAGGATAGACGTTCGAGGTGATGAACGTCCTAAATACCCCAATTCCATCATTACACATGGCATGCGCGTATCCAAATATCTCATGCACCCCATAAATATGTAAAATGTTATGCATCAATAAACAATTAAAGGTATAAGCGTTGCAGAGTGTCTTCCTTCCAAATAATACAGTATGAAAAGGGAAAAAGAGCAACTTTACAGTGGAGAAAACTGGAAACCTCTGCCTCAGCCACATCGCCGAGGTTGACATCACCGGTGACAAGTCACGCAGACAGCAAGGACGTTGGTGTGATGCTGTGGGAAGGTCACTTTCCATCCTCCCCACAACCCGTGACCCCAAACTAATCACAGGAAAAAGATCAGACAAGTCCCAAATGAGGGACATTCCACAAAATACCCAACCAGTCCTCCTCAAAACTGTCAGGATCACTAAAAATAAGGAAAGTCTGAGAATCTGTCACAGCTGCGAGGGCCCTAAGGAGACATGAGGGCCAACTGTAACATCATACTTTGGATTCTGAGGTAGAAAATGGATATTAAGGGAAAACTGAGGGAATGTGAATAAAGTATGGACTTTAGTTCCTACTACTGTATCGACATGGGCTAATTCACTGTGACAAAGGTACAGTATAATGTGACAGGGTAAGAGTAGGGGAACCTGGGTGTGGAGTATACAGGAACTCTGTGCTATCATCACAATTTTTCTTTATATCTAACAATGTTCTAAAATGAAGTTTATTTTAAAAATAAAAAATAAAGACAGGGGTCCTTGATATCAATAAACCCCATGAAAATACATTCATTAATAATCAGGGAAGCACCTCCCCCAGCACATGTGCATATGACACCCATGCACACACTCAAGCACACGTGCACATGACACCCAGGCACACACTCAACCCAAGCACATGTGCACATGCACACCTGTGCACACACACTCAACCCAAGCATGCATGCATGTGTGCATCTGTGCCCACAGTCAACCCAAACACGTGTGCACCTTACACCCATGACACACCCAACCTGAGCACATGCACACATGCTCAACACAAGCACGTGCACACATGCATACCCATGCACACACAATGCAAGCACATGCACTTCTGTGCACACACATGATGCAAACACATATGCATTGCATGCCCATGCCCATGCAGTCAACCCAAACACGTGTGCACATGCACATACTCAACCTGAGCACATGCACCCATGTACACATGTGCACACACACTCAACCCAAGCACACATGCACATGATACCCATGCACACACACTATGCAAGCACTTCTGCACATATGTGCATGTACACATGCACTCCATCCAAGCACATGTGCACATAGACACCCATGCATGCTCAACTAGAGCACATAAGCAGATACATACATGTGCACACACACACAACCCAGGTATGCATGCACATGCACGTCCATCTGCACACTCAACCCAAGCATGTGCACACACACACACTTGTACACACACACTCAACCCAAGCACATGTGCAGTTGCACGAATGTGCATACACAACCCAAGCACACACTCAACCCAAGCACAGCTCACCAGGGACAGAGGCCCAGGAACAGACTCTGACAAAACAATGAAGAGAATCCAAAAAGCAATTACACTGCCAAGTATTACGCAAACACAATTATTGGAATTGCTAGTCAAAAACGGTTAATAGAATAATTAAGATAGATTGACCTAAAAGCTGATTTTAAATTAACCTGACATGTGCATATACTATCTAAATAATACTCTTTCCTCTGATTTAGTCTCTCATTAAAATCAGATTTCATTGGGAGAAATTATACATTTGCACCATCATTGGGAAGAAGAAGCCATGTTCACTCACCCACTGATGAAAATAGGAGATTATTAGAGGAAGTAAAATGGGAATATATTTTCCTGGCCTTCCCTGGCACAGTGTGATCTGTCCCTGTAATAAACCACCGCTTCCTCCTAGCCTGCCACTCGGGAGGTGAGGGAAGCCAGTTAAGATGGCCTCAACTAAGGACCCCAAACCACTAGTGTCTGTGTGTGTCTGTGAAGCTCGCTCACGGGGGAAGGGCCCGTGGGGTGGGCAAGAGCAAGGAAGAGAAATGAGCACTTGGAGACGCCAGGCAACCAGGAAGACCCAGAGGAAACTCGGTACGTCTGCATTGAACACGTCTTCATGGGTGAGAAAACTGCAGCCAAGGAAGGAGAGGGATTGTTTCCAGGCAAACAGCAAGCGCTGGCAGAGAGGCAGGGACAGAGGCTGTTTTCGGCATCCAGCATCTCTGTTCAGCTCATGATTCCCTGCCACACCCCAGATAAAATGAACCCCTGTGGGGGTTTGTCTGTGCACGCGTCCAGGGCCTATCCTGGTCTGTGTGAACAGACTGGCCCTGCATCCCAGCACAGAAGCCTGGGCTGAGCACCAAAGGCCCCCAACTGCGGGAGGCAGGTCCTGGTCACTGCTCCCTCCACGGCCATGGCTCCAGTGTGCAGATCTCAGCTAGTGTCTAAAACACGAAGGCACTGGGTCACTACAGCTATGGGCCTCCTTGTTCATTGAAACCCTTGGAGTTACCTCGTTAACACTTTTTAAATGGATAGCCACTTCACATTTTTTAAGATAAAGAATTTCCCCATTAAAATTATTGAGATTCAGTAATAACACATTATTAGGATAAGCAGGACATGTAAGATGCTACAAAATGATCTATTACTTGGAGGATTTTAAAACCCTAATGAGAAAAACGCTCACTACCATTTATTCGTTCTCTTAGCCTTCAGCACCATTAGTCTGAGGAGCAGCATAGGGCTGGGGCTGGCTGCATCCACACTCACCCCTCTGATTGCTCCAGAACCTTTTCTTCAAAGAGAAATCTCTGCACTCTGCAGGGACGGTAAGTGGCGACCCTTAGGTAGCTGAAAGCACGGGGAAAAGAGCAGGAAGAGGTGGGAACATGGAGATGGAGAACACAGGGAGCGGCACGCTCAACGCAGGTGGAGTCTGTGTCCCCTCCAGCGATAGCCAGAACCAGGACCACCAGGGATCCGACATCACTGGCCCCATCCCGTAGGGTGGGCTGTGGGCAGGGAACAGCTGAATCGCCAGGCCACTCTCAGACCCTTGGCAGACACAAGGAATAACAGCTGTGGCCGCCGCTGTGGCCGCAGTCCCAAAGTTTGGAGAGAAATAGCAGCAAGTAGCAGCACCACTGTCCGTCAGCTTGAGTGCTTCTCGGACAAAGGAAGACAGTTCTCCTGTTTCCCAAAGACTTGCAAAGGCTGTGTGTTCCTCAGGCAGCTACTGCGCCATCGGCCTCTGAGTGATAAGGAAAGGAACCAGGGCTCAAACCTACTCCTGAGTGAGTCAAAGCAACTCCGCACTCCCTGCCAGCACTGAGGGTGACCCCCGAGCCCTGCTCAGGAGCTGTGGGGCCCGAGATCTCCCCTCCGCCCCGTGGGCAGGGGAAGGGCAGCAAAGGCTCTCTGCCACGCCTGTGTTCGGGCTCCAGAACTCTTGGCCTGGTGTCTGGAAGATGGGATTGCTGCCTTGGACAAGCCTCTCCTCCTTGCTTTTCCCTTTTTCTCACAGTGGGGTTTAAGCTAAGGTCCTATTCCTAGATCACTAATAATGATAGCAGGTGCCATTTATGAACACCTACTGTATCCCAGTGCTGCTCTCAGTGCTGTACCTGTATTCTCTCATCTCATTCTCTCAAGGGCCCAGTAAGGTAGCCACTTCATTAGCCATCTTTTACTAAAGAGCAGACTAGGCACAGAGACGGTAGGTCACTTTCTGAAGGTCACACAGCGAATGCAGGTGAGAACCAGGCTGTCCACGAAGGAAGTCTGACCCCTGATTGGGCTGTAATCACTGTGCTGTGCAGACACCCTCTCCATCAAGACCCTTCTGTGTTGCACCCCCCACCCCCACCCCCTTCTCTGCTTGGAAATGAAGTAGCTTTCAGGGGACTCTTATGAGGCTCCCGCCTCCCCAGGCTGGCCCCACACAGCCCCAAGACAGGAGCCCCCAGTGGCGCCTTGGTGGGCTTCTTGAGGGTTGCCTTAATCTTCCCCAGCCACCCACGGGAGACACCTGAGGTTTGTGGCTTGTGCCACGCGGCTCCAGGGCCTCCAGCACCCACCTGCAGACACGGCTTCAGCCGGCCCATGCTCCTTCTGTTTCTTTCGCTAGCTTGTTTAGGTTTCATTCACAAACAGTAAAGCCCATTCATGTGACAGTTGTATACAGTCATGTAACATCTACCACAGTCAAGATGTGGAACATTTCATTCTCCTAAAAAGTGTTCTCCTGCCCCTTTAGATTCCCTCCTCCAGCTCCCAGCCCCAGGCAGACAGTGATCTGATTCCTGTCCCTGTAACTTTGCCTTTCCTGGAAGCTCATAGACATGGAACAGTACTCTATCTCTTCCACTTAACTTGATGATTTCAAGACTTATCCATGTCGTGTAGGCTTAATATTTTGTTCATTTTTTATTAATGGGTAGTATCTCATAATATGCATGCACCGTAGGTTACCAACTTGCCTGTTGATGGGCATTTGGGCTGTTTGCAGTTTGGATGTATTACAAATAACATTGGTGTGAGCACTTGTGTCCACGTCTTTGTGTGGACATATGTTTTCATTTTCCTGGGGTAAATATTTAGGATTGGAATTGCTGGGTCATGTGGTAAGTGAATGTTTTACCTCTTAGATAGTGTCAGTCCATTTTCCAAAGTATTTCCATTTAAAATTCCAACCAAATTTCATGCATTCCAATTTAAATTGTATGTAAATTCCCATTGTTCTATATCCTTGTCAACACTTAGTATTGTCAATCTTTTTAACTTTAGACTGCTTTTAATGTGTACTCCTCTGATGGCAAGTGACGTTGATCATTTTTTCATGTGCCTATGGGTCATATATCTTTTTTGTCATGTATTTGTCCAAGTCCTTTTCAATTTTTAACTGCAGTTTTCAAATTATTGATTTATAAGATATCTTCATATATTCTGAGTACAAGCCCATTGTCAGATGTGGATTTTGTAAAATTATTCTGCCAGTTTGTAGTCTGCTTTTGCATTCCCTTAACTCTGTTTAATTTTGAGCAACCTTTTCAATTTTGCTGAATTTGTTTTATCATTTTTTATCATCTGTGCTTTCACATCTTGTTTCTAAAAAATGTTTATTCTAGCCCAAGTCATAAAAATTCTTCTGTATGTTTTCTTCTAGAACTTTAAAAGTTCTAATAATTTTCAGTCCATGATCCATCTCAAGATAATTTTGCATGTGGTGGGAGGTAAGGCTTGAAGGTTATTTTGTTTTTCCATGTAGATATCAACTTATCCTGGCACCATTTATTGAAACAGCTAGTTCTGAAAGAATTAAATTTTTACCTTTACCAGCAATCAAGGGACTATATAAATGTGGGTCTTTCTGACTTCCCCTTCGGCTCAGTTGGCCTCTGTGTCTTTCCTGATGCCAAAACCACACTGTCGTGATTACCATACCTGTATAGTAATTTTTGAAATCAAGTAGCGTGGGCCCCACAACCTTGTTCTTATTTTTCAAAGTTGTTTCTGGATATTTTAACCCTTTTGTCTTTCCATGTAAATCTTAGCATCAGCTGTCTCATTTCTTCAAAAGGACCATAAGTGGCACGGTAGTATATTGATGAGCAAAGACATACAATCGATTTTTCTATGAAAGTTAAATGCTGCAACTTGGCTAAACTAATTTTATTTGTACTAATAGTTTGGTTTTTATGGTGGTAAAATTCACATATTATAAAATTCACTATTTTCACAATTTTGAAGTGCACAATTCAGTGGCATCCAGTGCGTTCACCACGTTGTCGGCCCCAGGACATTCGCATCACCAAGAAAGGAGACACCACATCAATCGAGGTGTCACTCTCTGTTCCTCCCTTCCCCCAGCTCCTGTCACCACTAACCTGCGTTCTGCCTCTTTAGATCTGCCCATTTCGTATAACTGGAATCATATAACATGCGGCCCTTTGTGTCCGTCTTCTTTCACTCATCATGTTTTCAGTTTCAAGGTTCATCCATATTGTGGCATGTTAGGGCTTCATTCCTGTTTGTGGTTGATGAGTAGACCACGCTTTCTCAGTGCCTATGCTAGTTGTTTGTAAGTTTCTTAAGATACTTCCTCATACATGATTCATGATATCTGCATAAAGAGGCAGTTCTTCTTCTCCCTTTCCAGTGTTTATGCTTTAACTTTAATGTCATTTAAAGCTACCTGTGTCTCTGTTCTTCAAGTGCAATTTTGGAAGACAGCATGTGTGTGGGTCTTGTTTTCATATCTATTCTGACAACCTCTGCGTTTTACCTGAAATCTTTGGTCCACTCATATTTAAATAAGTATTGACATGGTTATGTCTGGGTCTGTAATTTTATGCCTCGCTCTCTATACATACCCTCCAGTTCCCCCCTTTGTTTCTCATTTCTTAACTTTTTTTAGGGTTACGTGAATATTTACTGATTGATTTTTCTCCTCATTATATTTTGTGAATATACGTGAATATTTATTGATTGATCTTTCTCCTTATTAAGCTTTTTCAGCATGGTATCACCTCAGTAGTAGAGCATAATCAGTCCTAGACTAATTTAGGCCCCACCCAAAAAAGCTTAAAATCAAGCCTCAAATATATCAAATTGTTTCCAAGTAAAGTAACTTCATCCCTGAAAAGTTTTAAAATAATTTTAGGAGTGCAAAACTATCCAGGATCTAACAAGGAAAAGTACATGATGTCTAGCATACAGTAAAAAATCACCAAGTATGCAAAGAGGCAGGAAAACACATCATGTAATGAGGAATATCAACAAATTGAAACTAATTCACAAATGGCACAGATGAGGGCATTCCTAGACACAGATGAACTGTAGTTATTATCACTCTATTCCACATGATAACGTTAAGCAGAGATATGAAAAACATTAAAAAGTCCCAATTCTAACTTTTAGAGATGAAACCATTTCTGAGATAAAGAAAATTCACTGGATGAGATGATGAGATTAGACAGACACTACAAAAGGAAAGATTAATGAACTTAAAGGTATATAATAGAAACCATCCAAAGTGAAACACAGACAGAAAATAGACCCCTTCAAAAGGAGCAGAAAGCTAATTGGGGGGCAACTTCAATTGGCCTAAAATTCATACATTTAGAGTCCCAGAAAGAAAACAAAGAAAAAAAAACAGAAAAAAAAGGAGGACATAATGACTGAAATCTTTTGAAATTTGCTTTTTAAAAGCTACATATCCCAGTCCAAAAAGTATGAAGTACGAAGAAGGCACATCTTAACCAAACTGCTTAAACTGGGTAAGAACGAGACAATCTTAACAGCAGGCAGAAGAAAAGAGACGTGCTGGGTACAGAGGAACAAAGACAAGGATGACGACAGGTTTCTCCTTGAAAATGAGGCGAGCTAGAGGACAGTGGAACAAGCTCTGCAAAGTACTGCCGGGAAAAGCCTGTTGATTTGTGATTCTGTACCTGGCAACAAAGGTAGAAACAGGGTGAGATATCAAGTTTTTCAGACATATAAAAGCTAAAATATTAATCATACCAGCAGATAAGCACTAAGAGATATTAAAGAAAGTCCTTTGGACAAGAGGAAAATGACATTATAGGAGACCCGATAGAAGCACAGGAAGGAAAAGCATGTTTTGCTGGGTATAGAACATGTAGAGAAATAAAATATGTGCCCACAAGGACATGAAGGAGGGCAGGGAATGGAAGTGTGCTGCTGTAAGGTTATTAAACCATCATGATGTAGTGTAATATTATTTGAAGATAGATTATGATAAGTTGAAGGTGCACACTATAAACCCTAAAATGTATACACACACACGCACACATACATATGTACAGACAGAGTTATGGGGAATAAGCCAACAGAAGTGATTAAATGGGATGATTAAAAAATACCCAGTCCAGAAGAAGGCTGGCTAAGAGGAACAGGAAACAAAAAGTAGACAGGATAAATAAAATGCAAATAGCAAGATGGTGGTTTAAGTCCAACCATTATCAACAGTGATGGTAGATGAAAATGATCTATAACCATTGGTCTAATTCAGTGGCAGTTTGTCAGACTTAATAACAAAGCAAGACCCAACTAATTGCTGCCTACCCAAAACCCACTTTAAATATAAATTCACAAATACATGAAAACTAATGGGATTTTAAAAGATACACTGTACTAACACTAGTCAAAAAAAAAAAAAGCGGGAACAGCTATATTAATATTGAACAATGAACACAACCAGCATTATAAAGAAGGTCATTTTGTACCAGCCTTTAGCTGGGCTTCTTTTATCTGCTTTGAGTGTGTGCAGTTCAGGGCCAGTCGGAAACATGAGTAGAGTCCGCCAAGTTTCCCCTTCTGGACGCTCCCCCCCTCCACTGGCCACAGCTTCCCCAATTTCGTCCTGCTCCTGTTCCAGGCCATGAAGACTGTGGTCTTCCCTGAGGACCCCCAGCTCCTCATGCCCTAACTACATAGTGCTCAGGCTAACAGCCACGGTCAAAGAGAACGTGCTTCCTGCAACTCCTTTATCCCCCGTGTACACCCCAGGTCCGTCTTGCTGTTCACTCTCCAACGCCCACAAGCAGCCTGTTTGCATTGTGTACAGATTTTGAAGCTGTTTTCTGTAAGGGAGTGGGTTTGGTGTGATCTTACAAAATCCTTACAGGAAGCAGAACCAGCAATTACCCATCCACTTTTAGAACTGCCTTGTGCATGAACCTTTTGTCCTTTGAGTCACACTTGGAAAAAGTGTAGGCTTCGTCTGTTGCAAAGGTCATGGTGGCTTCACTCCAAGAAACTTGAGAAACAGTTATTGTTTTAAACAGGGCACAACTGCAGTGTCCTGAGGAGCCCTGCATGGCCATGGAGTTTGCTGGATGAGGGATATGGACGGGCTCCTGCAGCGAGAACAGAGACAGAGAGGGAGAGGGAGAGACAAAGAGGAGACAGAGAGGGAGAGGGAGAGACAAAGAGGAGACAGAGAGGGAGAGGGAGAGACAAAGAGGAGACAGAGATACAGGCAGAGAGAAGTGGGAGAGACAGAGGAGAGAGAATATCTGGCAAACACATTCCACTTTCGGATTCCTGCTCTGGACATGGAGGCCTGCTCTTCTCCATAAGCCCTCTCCCTTCCTTCAACGTCCTCGGGAAAAAGCGAAGCAGACCCTTTTCCCTCCCTCGCCCTCCTTGCCCTCCACAGGGGCTCTTTCCCATAACCTGCTGGCTGGTCTCTGTGGCTGAGTTCTGCCCATCCAGGAATGGACTCACCAGTGTCCCGGTCCAGCCCCATCTCCCCTCCACACTCAGGAGCTCCTCGGGTGAACTCGGTGCTAGCCAGGCACTCAGCACCAGGCTCGCAGGCTTCTTCCCAACACCTCCAGCCTGTGCCCCACCTGCACCCACACCCATCATTCTGCTCCGGGCTCTGCCCCGAGGCCCCCAGTTCCCTGAGCTCGCCCATTCTCTGGCCTTCACCCACACTATGGCCTCTGCCTGGCCTCCCTCAGCCGTGTGGACGCCTCCTCTCAGCATCTAGGATCTAGGCCCATCTCCACGCCGTCTCAAAGACGCTGGGCTGCTGCCCACTGTGAGACAGGAGCCCCCTCTCTGTTCCACACCACCCTTGACAGGCACTTACCAGGCCCGTCCACCTCATCTGGTGGGTCGTGTCCGTCCTTTCATCAGATAGCAAGTCCCTCAAGGCCCAACTCCCTGAGCCCCCATCCCCCTCTTTGTCTCTCCTCCAGGGATTAGTGTCACCCCTGATCCCACTCCGGCTTGGCCTCACCCACAACAGCTGGCACCCACCTTGGCCCTCCTGGCTGTGGCCTTGACCCCTGGTGTTCATCCTGGCTCAACCCCTGGCCCTGGTTCTCTTGGTGCCACCTAAACAGTCTACACTGTCTTGTGTTCACCTTTTCTTTAATTATTTGTTTAGCAGAGCAGAGCTGATTTTACAAATATAAATCCGCCGGGCGTGCTGGCTCACCCCTGTAATCCCAGCACTTCCGGAGGCCGAGATGGGTGGATCATGAGGTCAGGAGTTCGAGACCAGCCTGACCAACATGGTGAAACACTGTCTCTACTAAAATTACAAAAATTAGCCAGGCGTGGTGGCGCGCGCCTATAATCCCAGCTACTCAGGAGGCTGAGGCAGGAGAATCACTTGAATCCAGGAGGCGGAGGTTGCAGTGAGCTGAGATCACGCCATTGTACTCCAGCCTGGGCCACAGAGCAAGACTCTGTGTTAAAAAAAAAAAAATATATATATATATATATATATAATTGTTTGACCAAATGCAGTGATTTCTCCCAGTTTGAGAAATAACTCTTCTTTATAAAGTCATGTTTTGGTGAAGCAGGGCTGGGTAAACCTGCGCCACAATGGGTGGGAGCCCGCAGGAGACAGGCCCTCGTCCAGCAGTGTCCAGACAGCTGCATGGAGCAGAACACGCAGCCCTCACCCTAGAGCCCCGACTTGGGTCATGGGGGCTTAGAAAGAAAGAAAGGAAGAGACAAGACTGGATAAGAACCGGGTTTGGTCAAGGAAAGGAGGGGTGGACGTGCAAAGCCCTCCCGTGCGGGAGCCCTGGGACGGGGGCACCATCCCACAGCCCCCCGGCAGCCGCCGATCCCCCCGACACAGCCCCCCGGGAGCCGCCGATCCCCCCGACACAGCCCCCCGGGAGCCGCCGATCCCCCCGACACAGCCCCCCGGGAGCCGCCGATCCCCCCGACACAGCCCCCCGGGAGCCGCCGATCCCCCCGACACAGCCCCCCGGGAGCCGCCGATCCCCCCGAGACTGGCCTGCACCTGCACATCTGGGGGGCGGGGCCCCGAATTGTCCTGCCACAGTGGCCCCGCCGGCAGGGAGATCAGAGGAAGAAATAAAACCCTCAGGCCTCACCTGGGATCCAGATTCGAGGCCGGAAGAGCAGACTTTGCCGGGGGCACTCACGCAGATCCCCACGTCTCAGGGCACCGCAGTCCTATTACCATAAGCGATCATGCAAAGGTGTGGTAAAAGCCATCTGTCATTCATAAAATGTGATGATGCCTTTCTGCAAAGACATAAGCCATCCCAGGGCTCAGCCAAGAAATGGCCATAAAATCTGGCATAATGACCTCAAAGCACACTTTCCAATATAAAGGTTATTCTAGGCAGCTGTTTCCTGATTATTTACGTGCAATAATTTTACACCCCCCAGACTCTGACACGCTCACAGCCTGACGCCCTCTCTCATCAGCAGCACTGAAGCGTCTGTGCGGAATTCTTACGATGTCGTGTTCCCTCAGCACCCATTTGGGGCTTTGTCCTCCCAGAATCGGGGCTCAGTCACCCTTGACACAGTTTCCAGTTCTCTGCCTTCCCCCAGTATCTCAGGGTGGTCCCTCCAGACACCTGCCTTACTCAGACGTCTCCTGGTGACCACCCCGCTATGGGACAGCCCACAGGACTCGCCCAGACCCCACACCCTGCAAGGACTGTGTAGCTGTCCCACAGCAGACCCCTCCCAGTTCCAGTGTGACCTCGTGGGGCTGTGGCCCACTGGCTGAGTGCACCCACCAGAGCTTCCTGTGGGAACCTGCTTGGGCAATACCCTGGACCCCAGTGAAGGCTTTGACCACAGCCCCTGTCCCTCTGGCTGTGTGCGTCCAAGACAGCGCCCCGTTCCCACCACCAGCCCTGCGAGGGGGCTGCCCTCTTCTCTCTGGATCTGTGAGTCACGCTGTTAACTCCAGCATTTTGTGGAGTTGCCACCTGAGTCTCACCTGACTGGCACACCTCAACCCACCTCTCCTCCCGTCGGCGTGGTCCTTTGGCGTGGCTGTCTTGGCTGGAATAAACTGCATGCAGGTGTCAGCCAGTCTCCTGTGACAGGGACACTCGGTCCCGGGTCGGACACCTCGGCCTTAGGCCGTCCACCAGGACAAAGAAGGGCCGACCTCTGGAACCCCAGGTTAGTCGCCTGGAAAAGGGAGGAACGGTCACCACGACACTGCCCCTGCCCGCAGCTTAGGGACGTTTCTGAGGTAAACGAGATAATGGTTGGAGTGTTGAGCACAGTCTGGCCACAGAGAACGTGAGAAGCCATTGCCAGTGTCATCATGTGGTAATTGGGAAGTTTCCGTGAACCGCTGCAGCAGGGAGTTTAAAGAAGATCAGCAGAGGCCAAAGACTCCTTAGCGGCAGGGAGGGGAGGGCAGAGAAGAAATCAGGTGGGGGAGGTCGAAGGGAAGTGGGAACGGCGGGCACAGACGTCCCTGAGCCCGGATCCTGGTGCCCTCACCCTAAGCCAGCAGCCCACGACCACCCAGAGGCCAGGAGGCCCCCAGAGCCCCCAGCACCCACGGCTCCCTCCAGTGGGAAGAGTAGGATCAGCCCAGAGCCCCTGCTGAGCCTGGACAAGGGGAAGGAAGGGGAAGCTCAGCGTGGTCACCCGGCAGTTTCTCCACTCTGAACCGCGTGCTGGGGGTCACGGGGCTCCCGCTGCTGACGAGGAAGCAGGGCCCACCCTGTCCAGCCTCGGCCTCTGCAGACCTGAGCGCAGCCCCACGTATCCCCACGATGGTTGCCGTCCCTGCGTGGGTTTTATTTTCTCCACTCAGCGTCCTGTGACCACAGAGATGGCGTGAGGTAGGAAGCTGTACAGCCCCAGCACGGGGCCCACGAGAGGAAGTCTCCAGCAGCAGCTAATCCTGGGCGGAGATGACAGCCCGGAGCCTTGGGCTGTTTAAACTCCAGCTGCACGGAAAGCCTCCAGCTGAGAGAGTTTCCCAGAGTCTGTCCCCGGGGTCGAGCCTTCGGGGGCCAGGCCATGGGAGCTGGGTCTTCCTGTGCCTGGAGCCTTGTCCCCTGCGGACCTGCAGTGTGGCCAGATGATGAGTCTTGCACTGAGCAGAACTCCTTGGGCCTTAGGGGGTTCTGCCACCACCCAGCCATCATTGGCAGGGCAGGGAAGGCCGGCCCACACCCAGGTCTCGCTGCCTGGACCCTCTGGGGGAGCAAGCTTTGAGCAGGAGAGGGGCCAGGAGCCCCTGAGGAGCAGGAGCGAGGGCTCAGAGCCACAGAGAATTCCTCAGCCAGGCCTGTGACAAACACAGCTGCCACTCCTCTTCCAGCCCCACTGCCCCAGCCACATCACATTGGTCCTGGTCACTCGCAGGGAAGGGCACTCACTGTCCAGGGAGAAAACCCATTCCTTTCCTCTGGTTCTCTTCCCCAAAGACATGCAAATACTTTTTCCAGGAATTTTCTAACAGCAATGATGCACGGACCCTTAACTTTAAACTGACCTAGAGGCCCAGGAGAGCCCAATTATTTCTGGCACAGGCACCTGGGCACAGGGTCTGGCCTGGTTCACTCTGGAGTGCCTGAGTCATGGTGGAAATTCAATATTTGTTAAGGAAATTGGCAAAAGGATGAATGAAGAAAGAGAACATTGCACGGTGTGTTCAAAATGTCCGCAGCTATATTCCGCTGTGAATTCAGGAGCTTGTTCCACAGTGTGTTCAAAACGTCCGCAGCGACATTCCGCTGTGAATCCATGAGCTTGTTCCCCGGTGTGTTCAAAACGTCCGCAGCTACATTCTGCTGCAAGTTCAGGAGCTTGTTCCTAGGTGACTCCGGCACATAGGCTGGAAACACTACACTCACCGGGGGCTCAGCCCCGCACACCTGTGTGGGGAGGGAGCGGGGAGCGTCGGGGAAGAAGGAGGGGCCCGCCCCGTGAGACTGCGGCCAGGTCCTGCCCACGTGCCTGCTCTGCTGGGCTTGCAGCCAGGCCACCTCCCTGGCCCGGACCCCTCAGGGCCTCTGGACAGGGGCTGCAGGCTGCCTCTGGACTCTGCTCCTGGACTGGCCTCTGCTGGACGGCGGCGCCCTGCACCTCAACAGCCAGCCACACCAGGCATGGCCGTCACCTACAGGTGAAGCTACAAATTTAACCTCATATAAGGGAATATAACCATGGCCAAGGAGCGAGGCAAGGCTTTTTAAACAACATGTCAACAGCACAAATCAGAGGCAAGTGAGAACCAAGTTTTAAAAAGATGAATGTGGTATAATCAGCATTAAAGTTTCCTGTTCGGTCTGGGACTCCTTGGACCAAGCATTACTGGGAGGCAACCTGAATGCCCTCGGTGTGAGCGTGGAAAGATGGCAGCTTCAAGGCTGGGCTCCGCAGTGGGGCAGGCCCCGCCCTGGACGAGCACGCGGCCACACAGAGGGTCCTCTTGAGCACGGTGACTCCCGTACCCGTAACAGTCAGGCCGATTCTTCAAGAAAACATACAAACTAAAAGATGTCAAACACAGCAAATTGGCTGCCCATGGAGAAGGGTGGGAACCAAGAGAGGCACTGGCAGGAAAGGGGACCAGTCGGTGAGTGGAGAGAACCTGAGGGTCTGTGGGGCCAGCTTTCCCAGGTGCTAAGGAACAGGACCTCAGATCTCTGAAGCTAAGGGCTGGGGGAGCAGAGGAGGGAAGATGGGAAAGAGGGAGGGAGGAGTAGGGAGGGAGTGGGAGGTGGAGAGGAAGGGAGGAGGGAGGAGGGAAGGAGAGAAACGGAGGGAGGGAAGAGGGCGGAAAAGACAGGGAGGAGGGAAGGAGAGGCAGGAGGGAAGGAGGGGGGAGGAAATGCAGGAAGGAAGGAGAAGGAGCAGGGAAGGAGAGAGGACGGAGTAAAAGGGAGGAGAAAAGGAGAAGGAGGGAGGGAAAGGGGTGGAGAGGGGCAGGGGAAGGGCAGGGAAAGGCGGTGATAAGAAAGGGCATGCGAACCTGATAAAGCCAGACCAGGGTGTCCGATGTGCATCCATTTCCTCTGATAATAGGCTCCTCCCCAATAGCACAAACAATAAAGAGGAAAAACACGATACTATTTTAGGAATGGAGGTAAGTACGTGAGTGGAGATTCCAGCATCATTTGAAGATGACCAGGCAGCCCGCAGCAGTGGGGACCTCAGCGGCCCTCTGTGAACCCAGGGTCCCAAACACGCATCGGGAGACCCAGCAGTGGATCCTGACAGGTACATCACACCTGGAGTGGGAAATGCCTCTCTCTTCAAGAAGCCGTGAAACCTCTTCTTTAACTTGAACTTATGTCAAATCCCAAGAACACTTAGACCATATTCTCCAGCCAAAATCCACAAAAGGAAGAAAATAATAGCAATTGTAGAAGCAGAAACCCTAACATCCTGAATAACAAGTAAGCAAACAAAATGCCTCTTGAACAATTCTTGGGTCAAGTGGGACAACAGAGTCCAAATTTCAGAACCACCACAAATAACAATTATGGAATATGATCTATCAGAACCCGAACAATGTGACTAAAACTGTCTCAGAGAAAAATTCACAGCGATAACAATTACGTTAGCAACAACCAAATACAAACAAGTAAATTATTCATTCAACTGACAAAATTAGACTCAAGAAAATAAAAAGAACAGGATAAATGTAAGAACCAAGAAGAAGAAAATAAGATGGTAAAAGTGTGTGATTTGAAGCAGGAGACTCAAAAGCGTGCTCGTGTGGTGGGCCTTTGAAATTCACCAGTGAATAAGCCTGTGTCTACCCTAATTCAGGAACTGTGAGGACGGCATGGACACACACGTGCACACGAGTCTAACGACATGGGAAACAGTTACGACAGAAGCACACACAAGTGCATAATTTACAGATTCCATGCAAATACTTTAAATTCTAAATAATATGGGTGATTATCCCAGGCAAATATGAATTGCCCCAACTAACCAAAAGGAAACAGAAAAGTAAGCAGACTATTATTAACCGCAGAAGAAATTGAGAAATCTATTAAAACCCAGCCCACTCACCTCCGAAATTCTACGCCCAGATAAATCACAAATTCACTAATTCAAAATGCTGGTGCACCAATCTTTACAATATGATTAAAATTTCCTATTCATGAGCATAAAGAAAGAAAACCCTGTGTTCTTCTTAGGATTCCAGCATAATATTTGCACCAAAACATTGAAAAGTTGCACATACACATGAAATGAAACATACCAGCTATGGTAATAACGTCCTCACACATTACTTCATGTGGCAGATTAAAGACTCACACGTGTAACGACCACCTCTCGGCTTCAGTTGAGGTTTCCAAGCACTTTAAAACAAGTTCAGTATTAGGAAATCTACCAATATAATTCAATGAAATAATACATCACAAAACAACCACTTCACCAGGGCAGGAAAGGCAGACAGCGTGAGCCACAGAGCAGCCAGCCATGACGGAACCATGTGCCATCACACTTCTGCCCCTGGGGGACCCCGGAACCCCAGAAATCAACCCTAAACCAGGCCCACCCATCCCAGCAGCACCCAGGGAGGCCTGGACGGTCACCACACACCCACAGCCACCATGGCAGCAGCCAGCATTCCCCTGCTGGGGGCAGGCAGTATCCGCTCCTTGGAGGGTGAGATGCCTCAGACCTGGGTGGGCCTCATCCATACACTTCCCAGCAACCGTGCATCTCGGCTGGCAGCCTTCACTCCCGGAGGGGTGGGTACCGGGGTGGAGGGACGGCATAGGGTGATCCGCAGCTGCCCTGAGGGTGCCCCAGCCTGGCTGTTTACCTGAGCCTGTTCCTTTCCCCAGAAGACCAAAAAATCATGAAATAAGAGCTACAAAGATGGGAAAGAGGCAAAATTCCCATATTTTGCAGATGGTTTGAGATTGATCTGGAAAACACAGAGGATCAACTGCAAGGCTGTAAGAAACAGGAGCACTTAGCATAACAAAATGAACACTAGTCAATAGTCACCGATATCCACTTAGAAAACAGGAAAATAAAGGGGGAAAATCTCATTCACAATAGCAGAAAGACACATAAAATCCTGATGGTGGGGAATTCAGTGAGAAAGGTAGAGTTGTTGAAGGAAACGGCAAAACTCTCCTGAGGAGCATTTTAGAAGCAATAAATGGAGACTTAGATTTTAGACTAGAAAACGCACATTGCAGAGTTGGGAAGACTGGATTTTTTTTTTTTCATTGAGCATCTGTATTTCTATACATGGAAAAGGACCATAAAGTTATTTTCAATGAGTTACTATTATTATCATTATTACTGTCATGAGAGGCGAAATCTTACAGCTGATGATTTCAGGCAGACTCTAGTGCCGGGCCTCAAGTCACAGGATCCTTCTCCCCCACCTCCTGGCCTGATCCTTTTCCCATCTCTGAGCCTCAGTCTCCTCCTCTGTGAAATGGACACAGTGACGGTAACTCCTTGGTGGCCTGAGGACAGGTGCACACGCAGGAAGAGCCCCACCTGGCGGGCGCCAGGAAACCGCAGCTCAGCTCCCACTGTCAGGTGTGTCCTCCGGTGGGAAGGGGCAGGCGCAGGCGGGAACAGCCCCTGCTAGCTGGGGTTCAGCAGGGCCATGCTGTGCAGGGATGGGGACTCCTGGCTCAGGGACCTGCTTCCCGGGTCCTACACGGGCTTTATGCTAGTTTATAATATGACTTGGGGCAGCCGCCCCCCCGAGGCTGGGAGGAGGCCTCAGGAGATGGGGATCACTGGTGATGCCCGGAGGAGGCAGCTTGCAAGAGAGTGGGCTCAGCAGCGTGGGAAAAGAGGGGCCAGGGTGTCCTTCAGCTAAATGAGCTGCTTTTTCCCAGGGCAGCAATGGTGCAGCCTTTGGCACCCAGCTTCTCACTGTTGGCACCAAGAGAGCCTCTGGGCAGTGCGGGCTGGTCCAGTAAAGACAGGGGCCTCAGCTCTGGGGCTCAGCAGGCCTCTGCTCTTAGCCCCACGCCTGGAATATGAGCTTCCCATGCCTGCCCCTTGAGGTCCAAGGTCAAAGTCAAGGTCAGCCTGCAGACGGTTGGGCTCGGGCTTGCTGGTGATCCTTTCTCACTGGCCACAGGGGAAATAAACGCTGAGGATAGGGCTGCTGTTCCCACTCACACACCGGGGCCATCAGGCCTCCCAGGGGAGACACTGGCAAGAGCGGATGTGATTCTGGGAGAAATCCCTCTGATATCCAGTTCTCGCCTTGCACAAAATAAGGGAAATTAAAGGTTTCAATAGTACTGATTAGACGAGAGTTCTGCACGGCTGACTGTGGTGAGAACATTCCCATGTAAGCTGGCTGCTCTGTTTTCCAGGCCTGATGCGATCATTTGTGCAGAACCGCCTTTAATATTAATGCTGGCGGTGGGCCCCGTGGCCTCTCTGACTCTGCCTCCCTGGCCCCTCCACCCTGTGCTGGCATCCACCGAGGTCTGCATCCTGCATGTGTGGGCCACTGTCCCAGGGGTGGGCTTCGAAGAGACCCTGCTCCCCTCCAGGCTCCTGGCAGAGTGCATTGGTAACCCCTCTTAAAGAGACACGGTGGAAAGAGGGCCTCCACCCTCCTGGACATCAGGACGAGACGTAAAGTCTCCGTGCTCCTTCAGCTGCACGCAGATCGTCACTTTGCAGATGTGAAAACTGAGGCCCAGAGGGAGAAGGGGGCTGTCAAAGATCACATGAGGAGCCTCACGCAGGGCCAGGACTGCAACCCTTTTCTCTAAACATACTTTTAAATTAAAGTGTGTGGCATACCCAGGGATTATAAAACACAGATATTATAAATGTAGAGCTTCATAAACTGAAAACACTGGTGTAAGCCATACTCAGATCAAGAAATAAAAAGCTACAGGCCCCTGGAAGTCCCTCAAGTGCCTCTTCTCATCAACATTCCCCAAAGAATAACCACTGTCCCCACTTCTGAGAACATGACATCATGAATTCTGACATCAGGGCTCTGGCATCATGGCTCTTGACCTCATGACATCGTAACTTCCTACATCACGACATCATAACTTCCTACATAACGACATTGTAACTTCCTACATCATAACTTCTGACATCACGACATCGTAACTTCTGACATCATGACTTCTGACATCAGGTCTTGAGGCATCATGGCTTCTGGCACCATAACCTCTGAGATCAGAGCTTTGGCATTATGACATTATAACATCTTTTTTTTTTTTTTTTTTTTTTTTGAGACAGAATCTGGCTCTGTCGCCCAGGCTGGAGTGCAGTGGCGCGATCTCGGCTCACTGCAAGCTCCGCCTCCCAGATTCACGCCATTCTCCTGCCTCAGCCTCCCGAGTAGCTGGGACTACAGGCGCCCGCCACTGTGCCCGGCTGATTTTTTTGTATTTTTAGTAGAGATGGGGTTTCACTGTGTTAGCCAGGATGGTCTTGATCTCCTGACCTCGTGATCCGCCCGTCTCGGCCTCCCAAAGTGCTGGGATTACAGGCGTGAGCCGCCACGCCCGGCCTCCATGATCTGTTTTTAATGGAATCACTTGGTGTGCATTCTTTGGCGTCTGATTTCTTTCACTCAACATTGTGTTTGTGAGATTCATTCATTCTTCTCATTTACTCCCATTGTTGTATTTGATGGTGTGACCAGACCACGGTTTATCCATTGGTGGACATGTGGGTTGTTTCCAGTTTGGAGACTGTCATGAATAGTGTCACTCTGCGTATTGCACATGCCTTTTGGTGAACTTGTTTGTGGATTTTTCTTGGGTATATACCTAGGAGCAGAATTGTTGAGTCATAGGCTAGGCGTACATTTAGCTTTAACAGATATGAAGAGACAATTTTCCCAAATCATTCTACAGCCTCACAGTTCACATCCACTCTGACCAACAGAAGCAGTTTTGGTTGATCCACATCTCTGCCACCACCTGCTATTCTCAATCTTCTACCTGTAGTCATTCCATTCATTGTGCATTATATTAATTTTCCTAGTTATTATCTGATTCACAGCAAATGCTTAGCTTACTAATTATTAGGTTTTCTGACATTCTAATTTTTGCATTGAAGTCACAAATTTCCATCCAGTTACGTCCTTACCTGTATCCCTTCTGTACCCCTGAGTGCAAGCTCTGGGCCGGGCTCTGCCTGGGAGAGCTTCCCTGGGTGCCTGGAGACCCTTGTCCCCCCAGAAACTGGGTCTTAGATCTGACAAGGAAGTGTGTCCCTCCCTGGGCCCAGCTCCCACTATAAAAGACGCAGGTGCCCATTCTGCCAGGGGCAGAGGGTTCCTCCCCGAGCCTGGGCTCCTGTGGGAGCCTGGGGACCCCTCTAACCTGCCACCATCCAGGGACACATCCCAACTCCACTGCCTGGCTCATGTGTCTGAGGAAGGGAAACACTCTCGTTTCGAGGATCGCAGGGTCCACCCTGTTCTTGCTCTAGACTGGGAGTGGGTGAACTGCCGAGACACCGGCCCCAGCTCTGCTCCTCAGCTAATCCACCCTCCCTGGACGTGTCCACCCTCTGCTGCCAAAACGCACAATAGCAGCACAGCCTCTCTGTGGCACAGGGCTGACAAGATCCAGTGATGGGGACTCCCCCCAAGAGGAGTGGGCACCTGGGTGTGTGCCGCTGCAGGTCGTCCGTCTGGGTGGGCGACTGGGTCTCCTCACCCAGCCCTGCTGAATCTGTGGATGTTGATCCTTTAGAAAGTGGCCGGTCCAAAGGGTAGTTGGTGACACAGCTCCAGACCCAGAGTCCCTCACACGACCCACACAGAGTGGCCCTGGGCAGAGAGCTCTTCCCTGGGGCCACCCAAGGGCACTGCCTTCATCTGGGGCTGGGGGAGACCATTCATTGGAGTTGTTTTCTGGGCACCTCCGGAGTTTGTCATATTTTAAGATGATATGAGAAGATCTAATTTATTGTACATATTTTATTTTTATCACAGATCACTGGTTGAACACATCTTTCTCTAGAGATATGTGATACCATTAACCCCTGCTGCAAACACATACAATTATTTCATAAATTCCAATTCTTTCAAGAGTAATTTATGTTTTCCCTGATATAATTGATGATTGCAGTTGTGCCACATGTTTTCAGTGATCATAGCTTCACACTGTGGTTTAATTTCTGACAGGGAATGCCCCTCCTAATATTCTTCTCTTAAAATGGCTCGTGCTTCTTCAAGCTCAGTTGCTTTCCAGATAAGCTTTTGAATCCCATTAGCATGTTTTAAGAGGGCCAAATATAATTTTGTTTCGACTTTATAAGTTCTTAAGTCAGGGGAGGATTAGTCTATTTGCTCATCAGCCTTTGTCTCCAGGGTGATGACATGTCTCTACACAGGTAAATTGTCTTAACCTCAGCAAGCCTGGGACCTTTCCCCACATGAAGCCTCTGCTTTAATACTGTTCTTAATACAGTTCCCGGCTAAGTTCATGTGTGGGTTGTTAGTATTGAGAACAGAACTAAGTTTGTCCGTATTACATTTTCTAATTTGTTACTGACTTTGTAGAGGAAATGTGTTCACTTTATGCATTTATGTTGTCATTGTTTTTACCGTGTATTTCCTCTTCCTGTCGTATTGCAGTGCGACCCGCTGGGTGCATCACTGAAGGAGATGAGACCAGCCTAGTCCTAGTGACTGCACAAGGCAAGAGGCTCCCCTCGATGTAACAGCAGGTGTTGGGAGGGTCTCCTCTCAGTCCCATTTGGGAGGACTAGGGCTGACCAACTGTGTACGTTTGTGCAGTCCAAGCTGTATTTCCAGCACTGCGCAGATTCACTGGGGTCGAAGGGCACGTCCCACCTCTCTGCCTAACCTCCTGGCTGTGTGGCCTTGTGGGAGGCAGGCATGGGTCTTTTCCAGCCACAGACACCACTCCCACTGCCCTTCTAGCCTGGCCCTGAATCCTAGGAATTTCACTCACAGCCAAGCATCTGGGATCCTTGGTCCAGGGTGAGTGCAGCAAGATGGGAAAGGGCACAGCCTGGCAGCCTCGGGAGAGAGCTGACCCGGAAAACCTGCCGGTGGCCTCGGAGGAGGGTGTTCCTCGGAGGGCAGGGTCGTCCTCTGATGCCGTGCTCAGCCCTGACCCTCCCATGACCCACCTGCTCTGTGCTCACTGGAAATTCCCCAAAATGCATCTCCGTGGGGCTCAACTCAGTTAAAAGGGAGCAAGTGAGCATCATGCAGATGGAAGCCTGACACAAACACCTCCCTCCGTTGGCCGTGCTTGGCCGGGGTGAGGACAGTGCTGAAAGCTCAGGGAAGGCAGAGCCCTGGACGACCACCCTTGCTCCTGTCTCAGGACACAGAGCCCTGGACGACCACCCTTGCTCCTGTCTCAGGACACAGAGCCCTGGACGACCACCCTTGCTCCTGTCTCAGGACACAGAGCCATGGACGACCACCCTTGCTCCTGTCTCAGGACACAGAGCCATGGACGACCACCCTTGCTCCTGTCTCAGGACACAGAGCCCTGGACGACCACCCTTGCTCCTGTCTCAGGACACAGAGCCCTGGACGACCACCCTTGCTCCTGTCTCAGGACACAGAGCCCTGGACGACCACCCTTGCTCCTGTCTCAGGACACAGAGCCCTGGATTGTCTTAGCCAGTGGTCTTTCCTTGCACAGGAAACAGGCCATGCAGAGACCCTGGCAGGCCACTGCTCCTCCCTGGCCTGGGTTGCAAGGGACAGGGGCCCTTGAGGATGGCATTCCTCCTATGGCCCTCGGCCTCGGACCCCCAGGGAGCTGTCTCCTGGCACTTCTTGGCAAGTCCACCCCATGGCCATCTGTGTTGGCTCAAGGCTTTCTTTCCCGTCGTTCTTCACATCTGGTGGCCAGGAGTTCTTCCCTGAAGATCTGGACCTGCCCATAGACCTGGGCTGGATTACAAAAAAAGAGGAAGCTGGCAAAATCCGCAGTGTGTCTTTTCCTCCAAGGACATTTAAAAAATACATGTGGGAAAAATCAGAGTTTCAAAAATGGCAAGTGTTATGAAATAAAGTGCACACGTCCTCTTTTCTGCACGAAACAGAAAGCACGCGGTTATTTTCAGCTCCCGGAGCTCCACTGGGAATAGGGTGGTAGAGTTGCCAATGTGTACACAGAAGGGTTCTTTTTTTATCAGCTGCTGAAGGCTCCAAGGATGGAGTGCGATTCTAAAGGGTGCATTAAGGCAAACATTGAGCTAACAGAGCGAAGGCTGCCAGCCAGCGGCGGAGATGGGCGTCCCTGGAACGCCTCCGCTTCCCCGGCTGCCCCGCCGCACTCCCAGGCTCCGCTGCCTCATGCACAAGGTCAGGATGCTGATGGGAAGACCCTGGGTTCCTAAGGAGGATTTGATGAGAAAACGCACAGGAGGTGCCAGCACACTGCCTGCCACACTCAACAAAGGCCATTGTTATTATTGTTGCTGCTATCATTAGTGTTCGTCTGCAGATTCCAGGGTGACATCACTTGACTCATTTTTTAACTGTGTATTTTGAGATAATTTTAGGCTTACAGAAAAGTTACAAAAGTTGCAAAAGTTACTTCTCCAGGGACCAACAGCCTGGAGGAGACCCTGTTCCTTGTGGAAACTGGCCGCACACCTCCTGCCTTGCACAAGATGTCAGGGAAGGGCGGTGGCTTTGGAGGCTTCAGGGAGTGAATGTCGACGGGGTCTGCAAGAGCTCCCAATGCCCAAGCTGGAGAAATTCTAGGAACAAAATAAATAATCGTAGCCCAGATGCTCCTGGACTGGTGGGGCCACATCCTGACAACCCATCGTAAGTTTAATATACCCCAGGGACATGGATGAAGCTGGAAACCATCATTCTGAGCAAACTATCGCAAGGACAGAAAACCAAACACCGCATGTTCTCACTCATAGGTGGGAACTGAACAATGAGAACACTTGGACACAGGAAGGGGAACATCATACACCAGGGCCTGTTGTGGGGTGGGGAGAGGGGAGGGATAGCATTAGGAGATATACCTAATGTAAATGATGAGTTAACGGGTGCAGCACACCAACATGGCACATGTATACATATGTAACAAACCTGCACGTTGTGCACATGTACCCTAGAACTTAAAAGTATAATAATAGAAAAAAAATACCCCAGGTCAAAATGCATTTAATGCACCTCATCTTCCGGGCATCATAGCTGAGCCCTCTCACCTCAGACATGCTCAGAGCGTGGATATGAGGCTGGCATTGGTAAAATCATCTCACACAGCTCACAGCTGCCTGAAGATGCTCACTCACCAGCTGCCAGCATTTCTGGGGCGGTCCTGAGAGGGTCTGCAGCTGGCGCACGAGGTGAACACAATGCTAAGGACAAAATTACACAAGGAATGTGCAAGAGTTCCACTGTTCACAGTGGGAATCACCTAATTCACACACAACCAGCTTCACAAAATGAGCTCCAGGCGGCCGGCTGGAGGGACGCGGAGGCCAGCAGGTGGAAGCCAGTGTTTAAAGCCACAGGTAGACGCGGCCTCAGCACCTTCCCGTTTGTGCCGGCCCAGAGGCACTGCCTGAGCACACCACCTGGGGAGGCTGCAGGTCTAAGCAGCCTGAAAGTGACCCTCACCAGGCCCTGAAGCCACCACTGGGTCGGGGGCCCAGCCTTCCTTCCAGTGCAGGGGCCCCACCCCAGCCGACTGCAGACTCAGGGTGCAAGCTTCCTCTGCTTGGGTACTCCTCGAGGTCCTCCTGGGCGTCCTGAGCTCCTCTGTGTGCATTTCCTATGCTGTTCACAGTCCTACTGCATGGCCCAGGAGGGAAAGGGAGGGGAGGGGAGGAGGAGAAGGGACTCTCCTTGCTCCCAAACTGCTGAACACTCAGCATCTGCCTCCTTTCTCAGCCAAAGGAAGGCCCTCGCCAAACACTCCTGACTATTGCAGTTGCTGGTCACCTACTCCTGTCCCACTCAATGGCTGCCCCCCGTCAGCCACCTGTGGCCCAGTGATCAGCTCACCTCCTGCACACACCATGTGGGCAGCTCACCAAGCCACCCTCCCCACCATTTCCAGGAAGGGCCAGGACTCACAGAAAACAGGCTTGTTTGTGAGCCACGCGGTCACTTACACTTTGCAAAGCGGCGTGGGCGCTTCTATTCTGAAGCATCCGCCGAGGCTTGGAACACACCCAGCCGGCAGCTGTCTGCTCCACTCGCTCCTCTGTTTTGGGGAAGGGCCTCTGGCAGAGGGAGTATGAGGCCTGTGGTTCTGACGGGAGGAACAAGGGTGTCTGAGGGACCAGGGAGGAGGGTGGGAGACTGTCAGGGGGACTTGCAGACCACAGTATTCATTTCTTACAGCCCCCGGACAATGTGGCAGCTTGAACAACACCCATGTATTATCACAGTCGGAGAGGGTTGGCTCAGCGGGGTACTCTGCTCTCATAGGCCAAAGTCAAGGTGCCAGTGGGCCGTGCTCTTGTCTGGGGCTCGAGGAAAGAACATGCTTCAGGCTCACTGGGGGCTAGAGGACTTCTCCCTGTGGCTGAGGGACAGAGGCCCCACTCCCCTGTGGGCTGTCAGCTCAAGGCTGGCTGCATCCGCCTTCTCAAAGCCAGCAAGGGCACCCTGAGTCCTCCTCACGCCGAGTCCTCTCTGCCACCCTCTTCCGCCTGCATCCAGAGGACGCTCTCTGCTGTCAGGGCTCCCCCAGAAACCAGGATAACCTCCCTCGTTTAAGGCCAACTGTCCAGAGAACAATGTGCCTCAGGGCGGCCTCTCATCACACTCAAGCTTCTGGGGGTGAGTGCGGGACATCCTTGGGGGCCTCCATAGCCATCGTGAAGGTGGCTTTTCCTGACCTAGCTGGATGGGGACCTGCTGGAGAGACGGGAGCTGAGAGGGGTCTGAGCTGACATGTATTTTTGGAAGAAACCTCTGGCTGCTGTGTTGAGACTAGACTGGATATAGATACAGCTCATGTATATTGTTCATTCACAGAGCACTTTCACCAAACACCCACATTCCAGCATTCCTGAGTGTGGCCTGCTACCTCAGAACAGAAAGCGGGAGAAGGAGAGCTATATCATCATCTTTCTGTCTATCTATCCATCTATCATCTATCTATCATCTATCATCTATCATCTATCTATCTACCTATCTACCTATCATCTATCACCTATCTATCTATCTAACCTATCTACCTATCATCTATCATCTATCTGTCTCTGTCTCTATCATCTATCATCTATCTATCTATCATCTATCTATCTGTCTCTATCTATCTATCATCTATCTGTCTCTATCTGTCTCTATCATCTATCTATCTGTCGCTATCTATCATCTATCTATCTATCATCTATCACCTATCCTCTATCATCTATCATCCATCTATCTATCATCTATCTGTCTCTATCATCTATCATATCTATCTATCTATCTATCTATCTATCTATCTATCTATCTATCATCTATCTATGTGTCTCTGTCTATCTATCTATCCTTCTGTCTATCTATCCACGTGCCTTTCTGTCTGTAGACTGGAGGTGGGTGGGAGGGGCATGGCAGCCATACAAAACAGGTACAGAAGTCACAGGTGACAGTGGCTCCATCAGAGTGGTGATGGTGGAGGTAAGAAATGGTTGTGTCTGGAAAGATTTTTAGACCAGCGCTTCCCAAAAGCCCTCTCCCCGCATCCCCCACCCCCACCACCTCTGACACCTAGCTTTTTCTTCCATAAGAGTCTGGCTTAGCTTAAACTTCAGGGTCATTCTGATTTACAATACGGCAAAATCCTGTAAGCAAAGATGCACAAAGACTGCAGGCCTGAAATCAGTGTGAAAAGAGAGTATAAAGGGAACACGTGCAGTAAAGTATTTCAACACATTTACTCTGTGCACACGTCTGCAGCCTCAGCCGCGCTTCTGACCTCAGGTCCAGCCACACATCCCGCCCCCGAGGGAAGGATTCAGACCTGGAGCCCTTTTTCTTGAGGAGCTGGGCAGTGGTGGGCTGGACAGCAGAAGGAAGTCCAGAAGCCAGATCTGCACAACGGGTGGGGGTCGGGGGTTAGGGGTGGGGGTGAGGGTGGGGGTCGGGGGTTAGGGGTGGGGGTGAGGGTGGGGGTCGGGGGTTAGGGGTGGGGGTGAGGGTGGGGGTGGGGGTGGGGGGTGGTCCGCAAGCCCAGGGAAGCAGGAGTGGGGTTAGGCACGGAGATAGGGAAGAAACGGGACAAATTCAGAGTGATGCTCTGTTTATGTGTTATTTATTTATGTATTTATTTTGAGCTACCACAGATCACAAAGAAAACAGCCGATGATGGCTCATGAGGGTGTCTCAGGGAGGCCGTCGGGGCCCCTGCACCTTGAGTTGTTCTAAGGTAGGGAGGAGGGAAAGCGATCAGCCTGCTGGTCCCTTTCCATTGCTCAAGACCCTGCCAAGCAGCCCCTGGCCTTTGCCCAAAGTGGAGACGATGGAGGGCTCAGGACGACGGGGCGAGGTGCTCAGTGCAGAGGAGGGAGCCTGCACCCACTGGGGTAGAGCTGATGGCCTGAGCATATGCGGCACCCACGGGACAGAATGCTCTTCCCCCATCCTTGCCCAGGTTGCTGGAGCTGACACCCAGGTGAACGCGGCTGGGACGAAACAGTGGTGAGCGGCCACTAAGCTTCTGTCCCAGTCTCCGTCAGCTGACCCCACCGAGAGCACACACTTACCCAGGAGAGAATCACACCCGGCCCTTCTGAGTGCTGTGGCGCCTTCAGACTTTATTCGTAGCAGATGCCGTGAGGACTCTGCCCACATTTCTCTGTATCCACTGACCATTTTTATGCCCCCGAGCCCCAGGTCTCTCAGTCCCAGCATCCGGCTTCTGAATCTTGCAGGCCCCCGAGCCCCAGGTCTCTCAGTCCCAGCATCCGGCTTCTGAATCTTGCAGGGGCTGCCCTCTGGCCACAGGAACCTCTTCCCTGGGGTTCGCTGAGCTCCTGGAGGGCTACGCTGTCTGGGAATTTATAACCCTCAGACAGTGAATGACAGATAAGACATAGAGCACCTGAGCACCCCCCAAACCAAAGGGCACACCTGTGAGCAGTGACAAGCAGCCTCCCAGTTCCTCCATGAGATGGAGCCGGAGTGACCCCCACAGCGTGCGGCCTCCTCCCCACCCAGTACCACCCCCCATTCCCACAAAGGGGTCTTCCAGGGAACACATCATTTATTTATACTGCTTCCACACAAATCCTCGTCTTGGGTTTGCTTCTAGAACCCCAGACTGAGATACCAACCCACAATCACGCCAGTGTTCAAATTCCATTCCCACCCAGGTGCCGAGGACGGCCAGGTGAGCAGCAGAGGACGATGACAGGAATTCTGAGTCCGCCTCAGTGAACAAAGCGGCGTGTGGCACACGGTCATGCCACGAGCCTGAGAGCAGATTGCAAAGCAAAGCGTGTAGTGCAATCCAACTTTTGGAAAGAAAAATAAATCCTTTATATATGACGGTGTAATAAAGAATTGAACCTTGCCCAGAGAGACCTGGCCTCTTCCCCCAGCTTCTGAGAGGTGGTCTCTAAGCCACATGGGACGGTCTTGGTTTGCCTGGGCCTTTGGACCACACCAGGAGGCCTAAAGTGTGATTCAGGTAGGGGTTGCGATGAGCTCACCCTCGAGTGAGCTGGAGACCTCCATCCGCATGGGCAGTCAACCATGGGGCCCCAGCAAAGGCTCTGGGACACTAAGCTCGGGGGATCCCACCTGGATGCCCCAAGTGACACTGCCCACAGCTCTGTGGGGAAGGACCCTCTGCAGGTGGGAACTTCCTGGACTCCGGCCTGAGCGCCTTTCCCTGGGTTGATAGTCATCTGTGTCCTACCCTTGTGCTAAGTCATGACCATGAGTATATCAGCTTTCAGTGAGTTTTTCTAGCGAATTATCAAAACTGAGGGTGGTCTTGGAGACCCCTACCCTTGTAACTGGTGAAGAATTGAGGACAGTTTTGTAGATTATGGTTCCCTCTAGCCCTGCAATGATGTTGACTGTAAGTACATTAAAGTATTTGTTAGACACTGGAAAACGATATGCAAAATGTAGGAAGTGGATGCCTCTGGGCTGTAGGATCATGCATAAGAGTGTATTCTTGTGTTTTCTATTTATTTTGTGCAAGACACGGTGATTACATACAGTGGGAGCTCCCTCAACCAACCTCTGCTCCAGCAACTCACATAATCTTGGTCAAAATGGGCTGGATGACTCAGTGAGCACAGGGGGCAAGGAGGCTGCTCTCTGCTGGTCGTGGATTTCGTCAGTTGAGATGTGACCAACCGGGAGACACTCAGGTTTGCTCCAAACCTGTTGATGCCACCTGTGATCCTTACTAGTGTCAGAGGCATTTGAACCAGAGCGACTCCATCTTGAATAGGGGCTGGATGAAATGAGGCTGAGACCTGTGGGCTGTAACCCCAGGAAGTTCAGTGTTCTTAGTCACAGGATGAGTAGGAGGTCCGCACAAGGTACAAGTCACAAAGACCCTGCTGATAAAACAGAATATGGTAACGAAGCTGGCTGAAACCAAGACGGCAACGAAAGTGACCTCTGGTCACCCTCACTCCTCGCTATACACTAATTATAATGCACTAGCATGCTAAGAGACACTCCCACCAGTGCATGACAGTTTACAGATGCCATGGCAATGTCAGGAAGCTACCCCATGTGGTCTAAAAAGGGGAGGAACCCTCAGTTACAGGAATTGCCCACCCCTTTCCCAGCAAAATCTTGAATGATCCACCCCTTGTTTAGCATATCATCAAGAAATAACCATAAGTATATTCAGTTGAGCAGCGGACATCACTGCTTTTCCTACAGAGTAGCCATTCTTTCATTCCTTTACTTTCTTAACAAACTTGCTTTCACTTTATGGACTAGCCCCGAATTCTTTCTTGCACGAGGTTTAAGATCCCCTTCTTGGGGTCTGGATTGAGACCCTGTTCCAGTAACACCATGAAACTTAATTCAACATTATGTAACCTATTACATATCAGTGCAAAATGACAGAAAGTTGTTTCTACATAAACCTAGATAAGTGATTTGGGAAAACAAGGTCAAGGTAACTTGAGGCTGCTTTAAAAATTGCTTTTGAATTAGGTATAGACAAGATGACTCTTAAAAATGAAAACTAATTGGTGAACGTTTGGAGAAATTCTGGTCTTAGATTGTCTTAAAATGTGCCCAACTTCTTGGTCCACTTTAAAAAATATGAAATTGGGTGGCTAGGAAGGAGAGTTAAGCCTGGGGTTTACACTAAAGAAGAAGAAGAACTTCAATCAGCAGACCAATGCTAAATACAAGCTTGTCCCTATATGGAAATATCTAGATTCATGAATGGAGCCAGAAGTGGCCAGATGGTGATGACGACCAGAGGGAGGGTTGGAGGCCTGGGACTGGGGCGTTGGCTAGGAAGGGGTGGGAATATTCATGAATGGAGAAGTGGCCAGATGGTGATGACGACCAGAGGGAGGGTTGGAGGTCCAAGACTGGGGCGTTGGCTAGGAAGGGGTGGGAGGGCCTCTCTGGAGTCACAGAAGCCTCATGCATCTTGACCAGGACGGTGGATGCATGGCTTACATTGGTCACAACTTGTCAACTTGTATGACTGAAAACTGAACATCACATTGAATTGGACTCAAAGGCAAGACCTGAGGCAAAATTCATGTAAGGAGGGAGTTTGGGCGAAGCTTGAGGACTGCTGCCCGGAAGCGTAGATTCAAGTTGCCCTGAATACACCTCCTATTAGCAGCTGTTACAGGTGGGTTTTTCAAGGGAAAGAAGAGGCTGTTCCAAGTTGTTGACCAAGGATTTATGTTAAAGTAACATAATCTATTGCTTGGCTCTATATTGTTAAGCCGTAGGGTGTGAGTTGCAGTGTCTGCTGCTGCACTAGGAGGTTAACCTGAGGCAACAGCCAGCGTTTCAAGAGACGAATACACAGCTCCAAGGCGGGGAGTGGGAAGTCACTGCCGCCTCACTTGACTGCCTCTCTGGGCCTGATCGTTTAAAAGGACTTGCATCATCCCTCAGCACAATTTCTTTCCTTTTCTCAATTGTATGAAAATTATACCTCAATAAGTTTACTATAGAAATTAATGAGTAAATATGTATAAGTTTTCAAGTTAAAAATATATGTAAAATATGTTTGCTCACTTTTTTAACCTATCTTCATTGGTTTTAAAAATTAACAAACCATGATGGCTTTGGAAACATGTTCTTCCATTTGTTACTTTCATAATGAAAGAAGAAATGTATTTTAAATAACATTTAAATTTAATTTTTTCATTATCATCTGGGAAGCCCCAGCCCTTTATGAAAGGAAAACAATGTCCACTTTAGAGTTAAACTTGCTGATGGAAAAACCAGACTCCGTAGAATATTTTAAAGAGGTTATTTCTGAGCCAACAGGGGCAACCACAGCCTGGGAGACAGGCTCCAAGGAGTCCTGAGAAAGGACCTGAGGTCGGGTTGCAGTTTTTTTTTAATTTTTTGAGATGGAGTCTCGCTGTGTCACCAGGCTGGAGTGCAGTGGCGCGATCTCGGCTCACTGCAACCTCCGCCTCCCGGGTTCAAGAGATTCTCCTGCCTCAGTCTCCCGAGTAGCTGGGACTACAGGTGCCCGCCACCACGCCCGGCTAATTTTTGTATTTTTAGTAGAGACAGGGTTTCACCGTGTTGGCCAGGATGGTCTCGATCTCTTGACCTGGTGATCCACCTGCCTCGGCCTCCCAAAGTGCTGGGATTACAGGCGTGAGTCACCGCGCCCGGCCGCAGTTTGGTTTTAACATTTCAGGGAGGCAGGAGTTACAGGCAAAGACATACAGCCGTGCACAGAAGGTCGGCATTGGTTTGACCTGAAAGGGAGGGACATCTCAGAGCTGGGGCTTACAGGACATCGGTGGATTCAGAGATTCTTTAATTTGCATTTGGTTGGAGGAGGAAGGTTCTGTCTAAAATTTGGAAGCTGTGTAGCAAGATGATGACCTGCAGGTGTGACTTTACCCTTGCCTGCATGGGTCCTGTTTATAATTTGGTATCTTATTGCCACAAAGAGTCTGTCTGTCAGTCCTAAGATCTCCATGACCTCTAATGCTGGTCCGTGGTTGCATCTAAGCTGCAAAAGGGAAGGAGTATAATGAAGCGTGGCGGGCCTCCCTTCCCATCGAGGCTGGGAACTCAGCTTTTCAGGTTTCTCTGGGGCCCCTTTCAGTTGTTTAGGGGGCTTAGGGTTTTGTTTAGCTTACCAACTTTTCCTATTAGAAATTTAGCTGAAGTTGAGGTCACATAAGTCTTCTGGAGCATTCCCTAACACAGAAAATGCCCCGCCCTTTAGAATTCTAACAGGACAGAGAAAGTGGAGGCGAGGAGCCCACCCTCTCCAACTCCTGCTCTTACCGGGGCCCCAAGACCCAGAGGAGGGGCCTGCCTGGGCCCTGGGGAGGGCACCCAGCCTGTGCTCCCTGGAAGGGTGGGTTACTCCAGGCAGGCCACTCCTGCTGGCATGGCGATGATTCAGTTTCAGCCCTGCACCTGCAGCCTCTGGTTGCAGCCGGTCTGCAGTGTTTCTCTTTGTTCCCCCTTCCATCTTCCTCCCACCTTATGTTCCCATGCTTCCCAGCAGGAGCGGAGGCCCAATTTGCGTTTCCTTTTCTGTAATAAAGCCTGCTGATGGGTGATTGCAGCTTTCTCTCACTGCCAGGGAGGAACTGGGGTAGGCTCCAGGCAGCCAGAGGCACCACTGTGCTTCCGTGGGTTTCCCCGGGGCACCTTCAAGTTCCAGTGTGAGTGCTGTTGAGATTCCGGGCGTCCAGTGCACACACGGGAGACGGCCATTGCCTCCCCTCCAGCCCCAGCCGCGGTGCACAGGGCGAAGGCTGTCTGGGTGAAGGCTATTTGTGAGTGAGGCCGGGGAATGAGGGGCAGTTGGCTGCTGCTCTGGAGGCCTGGGCGGCCTTGGTGTCTGGGAGCCTCGGCCAGGACACTGGCCGGTGGGGCCCTCGTGGCCCTAGCTGACCTTGACTTACTGCAGCTGGAGCGAAGTCTCCCACAGGTCCTCCATCCTGCAGGGATTCGGGCATGACTAGGGGTCAGGTGAATCTGATGGACAGCCCTGCTGCATGAGTTCAGGCTGGGGCACTCCTGCAGGAGACTGAGCGCCCAGCACTGTCCATGAGGAGGGGGATTCTGAGCACTCACTGTGGCTGTGCCCCCGACTCAGCTGCAGCCTGGAGGGAGTGTCCAGCCCCAGGGAAGGCAGAAAGCCCTTGACAAACCCTGGTGCTCTGGCAGCCTGGTGGGCTGACAGGCAGCCCTGTCCCCATCCCTCCGCACGTCTCAGGCATGGCCTGCACGGGTCTCCTCGCAGGTGCCCCCACACCCCACCGTGCACGCCTGGCCATCTCCTAGAGAAAGGCCTCCCAGGCTGCTCAGGAGTGGCCAGGCTCCTCCTGCCCTCCTTCTCTTTGAGTGCTGAGCATGGGAGGCAGGTGGGGGGCCAAGGTCTTTGAGTGCTGAGCATGGGAGGCAGGTGGGGGGCCAAGGTCTTTGAGTGCTGAGCATGGGAGGCAGGTGGGGGGCCAAGGTCTTTGGGTGCTGAGCATGGGAAGCAGGTGGGGGGCCAAGGTCTTTGAGTGCTGAGCATGGGAGGCAGGTGGGGGGCCAAGGTCTTTGAGTGCTGAGCATGGGAGGCAGGTGGGGGGCCAAGGTCTTTGAGTGCTGAGCATGGGAAGCAGGTGGGGGGGCCAAGGTCTTTGAGTGCTGAGCATGGGAGGCAGGTTGGGGGCCAAGGTCTGAGCCTTTTGGAAGCACCCATCATCTGGTTCTCAAGTCAACTCTGATTTTCACGTCACTGGTGATTACTTCATTTTAAAAGGTAGCCTCCTGTTTTGGAGGTGTGAACTAAAAGCATAACCCTGAATCCCCCCCTCCACTGACTGAATGACCCTTCTCGGTCAAGGGGACCCAGAGAAACCTGAAAAGCTGAGTTCCAGGCCCTGACAGGAAGGGGGTCAGACATGCCTCGTCATACTCCCTCCCTTTGGGAGTTTAGACACAACTGACCAGCAGTAATGTTAAAACGGAGATCTTAAGACTGACAAAGCAGACTCTTGGTGGCAATAGGATACCGAATTATAACAGGACCCGAGGCCGCACAAGGCAGGGGTGGGTCCCACCTGCAGGCTGAGCAGGACCTGAGGCTGCACCTGTAGGCTACAGATCCTGTAGCAGGATCTTAACTTAAACGTTCCAAGTTTTAGACAGAGCCTTGCTCCTCTCACCAACAGGAACTCAAAGAATCTCTGGATCCATCTATATCCTGTAAGCCCCCTTCAAGGTGTCCCACCTCCAAAGGCCGAGCCAGTGTGGACCTGCCATGCATGGCTGTATGTCTTTGCCTATAACTCCTGCCTCCCTGAGATGTCAAAACCAAACTGCAATCCGATCTCCTCAGGCACACGTTCTCAGGACTCGCTGGGACCGTGTCTGTCTGGCTGTGTCACTCACTGGCTCAGAAGAAACCTCTTTAAAATATTTTACAGAGTTTGGTTTTTCCATCAACAGAGAAAAGACTTGGAATATGCAGGAAAGACTTGATCAATTTCAGGTGGTGGGCAGAATGCTTGTCACAGACGCACCCACTGCAAGTCTGCACAGCTGAGTGGAAGGAGCTGGTGCCTGACACTGTGACCCGAACTCAAAGGGCCACTCAGGCAGCACAGGCTGGTTATCAAGGGCGTCACTCCACCACCTCCAAAGCAAAAGGGACGTGTGGAGGACTGTGCTGCATTTTGTCTCAGTATTCATCAGCCTGGAGATAGAAATGTGTTCCTGTCGGGGGCGAGCCTTCCCTGTTGGACGTGGGTTTCTGAGGTTGTGTTCCCATTGGGGGTCAGCCTTCCATGTTGGAAGTGGGTTTCTGAAGTTGTGTTCCCGTTGGGGGTGAGCCTTCCATGTTGGAAGTGGGTTTCTGAGGTTGTGTTCCTGTCGGGGGTGAGCCTTCCATGTTGGAAGTGGGTTTCTGAAGTTGTGTTCCCGTTGGGGGTGAGCCTTCCATGTTGGAAGTGGGTTTCTGAGGTTGTGTTCCTGTCGGGGGTGAGCCTTCCCCGTTGGAGGTGGGTTTCCGAGGTTGTGTTCCTGTCGGGGATGAGCCTTCCCTATTGGACATATGGGTTTCTGAGGTTGTCTTCCTGTCGGGGGTGAGCCTTCCCCGTTGGAAGTGGGTTTCTGAGGTTGTGTTCCTGTCGGGGGCGAGCCTTCCCCATTGGAAGTGTGTTTCTGAGATTGTGTTCCTGTCGGGGATGAGCCTTCCCCATTGGACGTGGGTTTCTGAGGTTGTCTTCCTGTTGGGGGTGAGCCTTCCCCATTGGAAGTGGGTTTCTGAGGTTGTGTTCCTGTCGGGGGCGAGCCTTCCCTGTTGGAAGTGGGTTTCTGAAGTTTGCTGTTGGAAGCAGAGCTTGCGTCCATGCTCACAGCAGCACCAGCCGCAATCAGTCACTGAGGTCTGTGCTGGGTGTGGAAGATGAGAGTGGTACCACATGTTCCTCAATCTGGACTAGAGGTTTGTCTGTGATTAGCGGAGACTGGCCTGCCAAGAGCCAAGGGCGCTGTGTTTGCATGTACAGCAGGCGTCTGATACGGTTCTGGGGCAGACGCCAGCCAGGCCGAGCAGGCAGCCTCCACTGCTCCGTGCATGGGGTCAGAGTCCACAGCATGGGACCTGGTCCCTGGGCAGGCCTGACAGACATCTGTGAACCAGGAATGGGCATATTCCAGGAGGTCTGGCACAAAGCAAAGTCATTGTAGACTTTGGCAATTGCATTTGTTCCAGATAATACATTTTCTTAGGACCTAAGGCCTCAGAACTTAAAATGAATGTTGTAAAGTTTGAAGCCAAAACAAAATGCAGACAGGCTGTACCCAGCAATTCCTGACTCTGCAATCTGGGCCTAATTCAAGTACTCATCTCCATGGCCTGCCAAAACCCTCCCACCGGAGCTCACCCTGTGGTCCAGTGCTCAGCACCATTCATACCTATGTTCGGGGACAGAAGCCACTCTGGGGACTAGGAAGAAAACACGTAAAGGAATTGAGCTTAAAATAAAAAGAAATTCGGTATATTTCATACCCACTAGCAATATGCCTTTAGAAAGAGACAGGCTGGCAACTGCACGTTGGGAAGGACGCACAGTGACTAGAACTCTCGTTCCCTACTGCTGGGAGTGCAAAACGGAACAGCCACTCTCCCGACTGCCCAGCGACCACACTCCCGGGTGTTTACCCAAGAGAAATAAAAATCGTGTCTGTAAAAGAATGTCTATCAGCCTTATTGATAACGTCTCCAAACCCTGATTACATCAAGTGTCCGACCGCAGGAGGACGGACGAGAACGGGTGGCCCTTCACAGAACAGGCTAATTCTCAGCATGTGGGAGCACTCGTGCGTGGAAGGCCAGGCGTGTGACACGTGTGAGCATAGCGTGGGCAGGACGCACGTGAGGGCAGTGGCGGCTTCAAGCACAAATCCTAGGGACTGGGTGGGTCCTTGGAGCAGCAGGCCTGGGTGAGCCTTAGTGGACTCCTCTGTGGCCTGTAGGGGGGTCTCTGCCCTCATCACACCCAAGGAGACCAGGAGACCCGCACAGATGCAGGTTCTCCTCAGTTGTCTAGTGGAGGACTTCAGATTGGAAAGAAACTCTCAGCCTGGCAGCCTCACAGTACTGAGGAGGCCACAGGCCCAGGAAGGGCCTCACTATTGGGCCCCACGCTGCCGGCTCCTGGTGACCTGCGTCCCAGTACCTGGTCTGGTTTCTTTTCCCAGACTTTGGAAGGTCCCCGTTGTCTGCAGGGGGTCCCAGCCCTGCCAGGGGAAACCCCCCAAATCCGAAGGCAAGGGAACGCCCAGGAGAGGGAACCTGCTGTCCACGCTGCAGAAAGGCCCGCAGTTCTCCTGTCTTCACAAGATGCCTGACCCCGGCTGAGTCACCTGAAATCTTTCCAAAGCACCCTCAGCACACATTAGGGCACTTCTCCCTGTATTTTGGTATCAACCTATTTCCCCTACCCTGCCTCAGTCCTATTGCTTCTTTGTGAACTTTGCTTAGAGAATCTTCTCCTGAAGTCTGCAGAGGAAACTGGGGCGCCCTCAGATGCTGTGTTCACACTGTGTGTGGACACACAAGCATCCCCTTGGCCACCCCCAGGCAGGCCCTGCAAGTCGGAGGCCTGAGGGGAGAACCAGTGTCCCCGAGACACTCTTGCTGGTCGGAGACGCCTGAGTGCTGTGACCAGGCCACACACAGAGACTGGCGCTGCAGCCCCTGGAGGGGAGGCTTCAATCTTCACCCAAAGCAGCCATCAGTGGGACTCACCCTGGGCTGGCCTGACCCAGCACAAAACTATAGTGTCGAAGAAATACAGGAAATGAAAAGAAACCTAGAATGAACTGAAACCAAAATGGGGGGAAGATGGAAATATTAACTACCCAGTATGTAAAACTGGTTTTCACACTTTTTAACGTTTTATACATGGCACTGCCTGTTACCCAGGCCCCGACTCGGCCCCTCCCTGGCCTGCTGCCTGCGTTGCTCCTGCCCGTCATTCCCTCCCCTCAGCCTGCTTTTCCTCCAAAGCTCTAGCTAATACCTGAAATGACAGCATGGATTTGCTTATTTATTTATTGGGCTGCCCCTCATACATACGAGCTGCAAGAGGGCAGGGTCGAAGCCTGTCTTGTTACAGGGCCCGTGGTGGAGCTGTACAAGTCACACCCTGCCGAGGGGAGCACTCTGCTCACCAGCCGCCTGGAGGGGCACACGTTTCCCACCCCATTCACCCAGGGGAGACCTTTTTCCGTTGCGTGCAGAGGTTCTGTGTGAGCTGGAGGCGGCCACGGGCCAGTCACACGGATGGTGGCTCCGGCTGGTGCCCATCCCTTCATATTCAGGAGAGACGGACTGTCTGTGAGACATTCTCACAGGTGCTCTGGGATACACGCCATGGCTGTACCTGGCCTCAAGTGGCTCATCGTGCTTCAGGGGATACAAAATGGATACACAGATAACTCTAATACAAAATAAGGTCTGAGGGCAGGAATTTTGGAATATTGTCATATTTGTTTCTAGAGTTATTTTAGAAAAGCTCATATTGTGGGATTTGGATGAAAATTCATCATTACATTCTTAATAGACCGATTTGGGGGGCAAACTGGAGTCCTTTTGTAACACTGGTTTGGATAAGGGAATTTGAAATTACCTCAAAGAATAAGCAACAGTTCTAATTTTCATTCCATTTAGGTTCAGAAAAAGGATGGAGGTAGAAAGTCCTCTCTCCCAAACACTATGATTGACACTGCAGAGTTCTGCAACTCTCGTACGAGGGAGATTTCATGATGATCTCAGTAACCGATCAGAGAATCAACGACTGACTTCGCTGAGGCACGGTGATGAAAAGGTCAAGGTGGTCTGGTCTGAGTGAAGTCACAGCAAGAACCCTTGTCCAGGGCCATTCTCACCTTTGGGGACAGCTCCTTCCCTGTATGGTCCTCATGTCACTGCACTTTCCTGCCTTGTTTCTTGCTGAAGCCATTATTTCTTAATTCCTTAGTAGATATGCAGAGCGGACATCCCAAAGAAGCTAGAAAAATTGATGAGCAGGGAACAGATCAAATCCTCTCCATCAGTGGAAGGCAATTCACGAGGGAAGAAGGCAAGACCATGGGGTAATTTTTCTGAGACTTGACAATGTTTGCCAAGTAAATAAATCTGCCATTTAACACTACGATAAAAGCTGTCATAGCCAGGGTATTAGTGACTACTTGAGGTTTGAGGACAATGAAGACAGAGTAAGATAAACATCCTTACTATCCAGAAAAAAAAAACGGAACCAGAAGACAGCGCTTCTTACTATCCACAAAAGAAATGGAACCGCAAGACAGCCCTTCTTATTTTTCTCCATCTTCGATGGTGAGGAAGAATAAAAAAAAAGTTGCTTTTAAAGTATATTCATTAAAATCAAATTCTATTATCATACACACAAAATATTTACGTGAAACCAGCCACAAAAGAATGACAAGGAACGCTACTGATTTGTCCATTCTGGGGGATAAGAACACAGATTCTTATCTCACTCTTGTTAAAAGAAAACTTCAGCTGAATTAAATTTAAAGGAGTTTAATTGAGCAATGAATGATTTGCACATCGGGCAGCCCCCAGAATTACAGCAGATTCAGAGAGACTCCAGTGCAGCCACGTGGTGGAAGATTTATAGACAAAAAAAGGGAAGTGAGGTAGAGAAACACCTGGATTAGTTACAGGTTGGCATTTGCCTTATTTACACACAGTTTGAACATTCAGCAGTGTATGAGTGATTGAAGTACGGCTGCTGGGACTGGCCGAGACTCAGCAATTGTGACAGGTACATACTCCTAATTTAGGTTTTCAATCTTGTCTACCTATTAAGTTAGGCTCAGTTTGTTCACAGGGACTCCAATACAGAAGTACGGAGTCCTTCTCAGGCCATATTTAGTTCGCTTTAACAATTCCCCCTTTTTGGTCATTTTATCAGTTTTGAGAGATTGATCGAAACTTGAGTTATTGATGTCACTGTCACCATTGGTCTTGAAACCCACTAGGAAGCAGAACAGTGAGTTTTGCAAAGGTAGGAACAAGGACTGAGTTGAGGATACCACCTTATGCTGGAAAGTCCTGTTTGCAAGAGAAAAACAAAACCTGGTCTATTCTAGGACCCATGTGTTTCCTTAAAGTCTTAATTCGATTATGTCACATTTAGCACGAATGATGCCATTTTGGTTCGGTTTGGTCTGTTGGGACCTAGTGCTCAGTCCAAAACAATGGCCTCCCATCATTTTGTTTAAAAAATTCCCCCTTTGTCAGGTTGTCACTTAGGCAAGAGTGTGACCAAAACTTAGGATGTTAGCGCCACTCTCCGTTACTATCATTTTGGATTTCCAGTCTCAGCATGTCACTCATCGGTTTCGGTGTCCTCGTGGTCACACATTTCTTTCAGCTCTTGTCATTCCAGTTGAAGAGAGACCATCTGACGTTCTAAAGATGGCTTCATGCAAACATTTAAAACCTTTGAGAGAATACAGTGCACCAGGGAGACTATTCTTATGACTACTGAGAGGGTTAACACCAAGAATTTGGAGTATGCTCCTTAGCCAGGGTCCCCATAAACCAGACCACCTAAACTCAAATAGACCATTCTTTGACTTAACTCAGTGGTCTTTTCGTTAATTCCCTACAACAGACTCTCTATAACACCTGATGTTTTCTCCATAGGCCTTAAGTGCCAGCATCTGCACAGGTACTTTCCTGTTTAGCCAATTCTATTTTTTAGCATAACTTTCACAAGAGAATTTAACATCTGTTGTGTAGCCTTTACAGTAGAATCTGCTACAGAGTCTACCATGAGGGATATGTTTCTAGTCATTGCCTTTTTAATTCCAAACCATGGAAAAAGGACCTAACAAATGATGCCCTTCTAGAAGAGGGAAGGCCTCTTGGCAATGGTCTCTTTAACCCATGCTGTGGGTTAAGAGGAGTGAACCAATGTTCTGCTTCTGAATGATTATGAGGCACCATATGTACCATTGAAGTTTCTCACCTATGATACACTGGGCCTTCATCTTTATCTATCAAGTTATAAGATTATCCATGTATAAAGCTGGCTGCAAAGCCCTTCACAAATAAAAGTATACCCCATAAGTGCACAAAACAGACCCCCTTCTCACTTCTGTTGTTCACAGAGGCGGAAGCAACGGAAAAACATTCAAAGATAAGAGTCTCATGATAGTAAGAAGTCTTGATCCATGATCTTCAGAAAGAGCTGCTCACATCAAGGATGCCATCTTCTTCTGGGGAGAAACTTCCCTGATTAGCTTTACCTTAAGGGTTTCAATGGATGTAGAGTTCCAAGAGTGACCCTGCTCAGTTGTGAGATTATGACCCCAAGGTTCAAGATCCTGATGTTTTGTTGCAGTGATGATGCCAAGGGCAGCGTTTCTCTGATGTTCTCAGAAGATCCCATCTTTGGGTTCTAGATTGTGAAGGGGTTGATTGTCCTCAGTGAACCATAAAAAGCTCTTTACCTGGTGAAAATACACTGATACATAGTAATCTACTGTTATAACATTAGCCCTCCTGCATGGGAAAGCTTTAGTACAACCAGAACACATACATTGAAAATGACAACTGAATGAAACCCCTTTATAAATGTTTAAATGCCTCATCAGGTAGCCAAATGTACATGAAGCTTTGATTGACTTCCCAGGAGTATGGGTTTGACAAACTAAACATTGTTTATAAACTATTTTAACAATCTGTAAGTCACCACACCAACATATTTAATTTGGATCATTTTATCTTTTCCAGGATGAGTCATGGAATGCATAACTTTTAATAACAAAAGCTTTAAGGACTCACGAAGGACAAGGCAGCCATCTTGGTTCTCCATGAGTCCATGCTTAACATCGGACTTATGTCCTCTTGGGTGCCAGTTGTTTCTCCAAATTGGGCACATAGCATGGATAACTGATGGGTTATCACAGGTAATTTGACTTAGACCATGGAGTTCATTCAAATTGTATATCTAAACAATTTCAGTATAGGCTGATTAAGTATGCAAACCTGGTGAAGCATTTCCTCGGTATTCAATTAATTTTTATTCTATTTGGGTTAGCAGTTTTATAAGCCAGTCAGTCTTTTCATTAAAGTTTCAGCAATTCTTACCCAGTCCAAATGATGTGATTTTGAAGTTACTAGAAACCTGTATTCCACAGTGCTTTTCAGGGTCCTCCCCATCCGTTCACGAACCTCCTAAAAGACACCATGTTCTAGGATTTTTGTGTGCTTGTGAAGTTTTCAGAAACTACATCAGCATGAAGCAATTAACTGCGGAAATGACTTTAAATACTCAAAAAGACACAATTGACAAAGAAATTTGGTTATAACAACAACATAACCATAATTATGATCGGTAGCATATACTCAGAAAAATTAGAATTTTAGAAATCCCATACAACTTTGGAACATATATTAATATCATTCACTAAAATATAACCTGAAGAAGGTTAAATTTTTTTTTTGACACTATTCTGTATCGAAAAGTCCAAAATGTTTCTTAAAAAGTAACTAAAAAAACACTGGAGTAATTAAAGGACACTTCCTGTGCAGGGGATGGAAAAATCTCAACAAAAAAGGAGCGCAGAAGAGCCTGGCTAGGCGGGAGAACACGGTCAGGCCCGCAGGAGACGCCGCGGCACCTGCCAGAAAGAGAGCCGCAGGCCAAGACCAGGAGACGCGAGAGAGGTGGGCAGGGCTGCCCGAGAGACCCAGGCGGCCATTGCCCGCCCTGCGTCTGCGCCTGCGCCGGAGCCTCCTCCACACTGCGCCAGCGCCGAGTCCGGCCGCCTCCTCATTGCGCCGGCGCCGGGGCTTCCTCCACACCGCGCCTGCGCCGATGACAACCCGCCTCTACAGGACGCCTGCGCAACGCCATAGTCACCTCATCAGCTCCGTGCACTTACGAGTCTCTCTCTGATCGACCACGTGTTCCTGTCGGCTCACAGAGGCCGCCTCAGGGTCCTCCCCCATTGTCTTCCTCGCACCCTCCACTGTTCCCGGCCCTTCACTCTGCGCTTGCGCAGGAGTCGCTCGCTCCTCTCTGCGCCTGCGCAGAGGCCACCTCCTCCCCGCCCGTCCGCTCCCTTGGCGTCGTCTTGGGCCGCGCCCCGACCCCTTCTGTTTACGCATGCGCAGGAGCCGCCCTGCGCGGGTGGGGGGCTGAGCCCCTGTGGCTTCAGGTTTAAAGGCGCGAGCGCCACCCACGCAGGCACAAGGGCTCCTAGTCGTTTTATTTTTAGCGTAAGGTTTTCCTCTTTAACAAGGAAGTAAAAAAAAAAGTTGTGCAATAAATATTAATCGTCCTTATATGTACTCGGGAACGTTCGTCCTTTAGGTTTTCTCCTGGCGCATGGGCGCCGCCAATCATTTCGGGGCTTATTTTGGTTCTAAAGCCCGGGGCAGCCAGGCCTCCCTGCCTGGCCTCGGCGGGGACGCGGGACCTGGGGCCCCGGACCGGGCCTAACCGCCCTGGCCGGTCCCCACTGATGGTGGCGGTCGGTCCTGATCGTCCTGATGGCAGCGACCAGGCTGGACTCGGGCTGTGCAGGGGCGAGGGGAGCAGGGCGGGGTGACGCCCGGAGAGCGGCCTGGAGAGCGCGTGCTTCAGAAGGCGTGGGCACCCTGTCCCCTTTGCAGATGGGGATGCAGGCCCTGGTGGCGGTGGAGGGGAGATGGGGGCAGGGACGTTGCCGGGCAGAGGAAGCTGGGTGAGTGTGCACTTGGTCCCCTTTGCTCCTCCCTGGGACTTTGGGCTCTATAGGGCAGCCTCCGAGGCCCACGTGCACACTCGGTGAACCACAGTCCAGACACAGGCAGGGCGGCAGGCCAGGGAAGGAGAGGCCAGGTGTTGGTGCATGGAGAGGCCAGGTGTTGGCCTGGGGGTGCTAAGTGAACCCCCAAGGTCGCGGAGACAGTAGGGCAACAGCAAAACGAGCTCTGCCGTCCAGGGCGAGGGCCCGGAGTCCTCCCCAGGGGTGGGCTGCAGAGAAGCCCCTGTCCAGGCCCTGCTCACCTGCAAAGTGCTCCCGAGCTCCTGTGCCCCCAGCAGCAATCCCAGCCCCGCTGACACCCAAGCTTGTCACCCGCTGGGTTTCTTGAGGTCTGAGGACCGTGGCTGAGGGTGCATGGGCGCTGGGATGGAGGGGGATGTCCTGTCCCAGTCTGTGCTTATTAATTGTTAAAGAGGGCAAGGCTGCTTTTATTCAAGGTGGGGGGGCTGCTAAAGCGAGATGTTGGGTTAGGGGAGGCAGATCCGGCTCAACTCCAGATAGAAAAAGTGGGAATTGACAGCCCAGGCGTAGGGTCGGGAGTGGAGAGAAAATTACTAAGAGGAAGGGTCAGGGGCAAGGCGGGTTCTAGCTGCATAGACAGGATTTTTGCTGAAAAGGCAGGCAGTGTGGTCACAGACCGAGGGTGGGAGTTGAGGACTTTGATCAGGGACCAAGAGTAGACGATTTTCACTAAACCGACTCAGCAGGATTCTTGCTAAATCGGCCGAAACCGGCCAAGGTCAGGGACTGGTCACAGGGAGGGCTCAGAGGAGCCTGACTCGAGTGTGGTCAAAGGAGAGAGTCTTTGTCATCTTTTAAGAGGCGAGAGTGACGTATTAGTGAGAAACGGTGAAGGGATCAAGCTCAGGCCAGCAGCCCCGAGTTTGAGATGAGGACAGGCTGGGTCCAGGAAGGGCTGCAGGAATAGGGGGCACCTGAGCCTGCAGAAAGCGGGGAGCCCAGCCGCCAGAGCAGGCACCCCCAGGCAGACCTCAGTGTGTCCTGCCCTGTGGGAGTGGCAAGGCCAGACCAAGCTGGATGTGAACCAGTCCCAGAACACCGCCTAGAATTTGGATTGTAATTTGTTATCGATGATATTGCTGCTTGGTCTCTCTCCTCTTCCTCCCCACCCCCACCCAAGATGGAGTCTGGCTTTGTCCCCCAGGCTGGAGTGCGATGGCAGGATCTCGGCTCACTGCAACCTCCGCCTCCTGGGTTCAAACAATTCTCCTGCCTCAGCCTCCCAAATAGCGGGGATTACTGGTGCGTGCCACCACACCCAGCTAATTTTTGTATTTTTGGTAGAGACGGGGTTTCATCATGTTGGCCAGGCTAGTCTCAAACTCCTGACGTCGTGATCCGCCCACCTCAGCCTCCCGAAATGCTTTGGGATTACGGGTGTGAGCCGCCGCGCCGAGCATGGCCATCGTGGCTACATCAGTCCCGGCTAATAGAGATTTTAGCACACTCAGATTCTATTGGCTAATAAGATTTAATTATAATTCTGGGGTATTTAACAATGTCGTTATACAGTCTTCATTGTTGCAAATGGAGAATGAAATCGGGTGCATGTGACACTAATATGACCTGTTCATGCTCTGTCACTTAAACGGAGTTAAGTAACATAGCCCTGAGCAGGAAGACTCCTTCCCCACTTCTGTCCAGGAGCTCCTTACTCGATTCTGGGGAACAGAAAGGCTTTCAGCGGCCAAGGGGAGTGACAACAGCCAGACATGAGACACCTCCTAGAGCCCTTTGGTGTTACCCTTTCCGGTCCATCAGCCACAGTGTCCACCCCAGGTAGCTGGGTCCTGAGTTCACCGTCTCAGGACATTTTTCGACCTGGTTTGTCTGAATTATTATTATTATTGATCATTGAGACAGGGTCTCAGTCCATCGCCAAGACTGGAGTGCAGTGGTGTGATCCTGGCTTACTCAGCCTCCCAGGCTCAGGTGATCCTCCCAGCTCAGCCTCCTGCGTAGCTGGGACCACAGGCAGGCACCACCATGCCTGGCTAAATTTTTTGTATTTTTTGTAGAGACCAGCTCTCGCTATGTTGTCCAGGTTGGTCTCAAACTGCTGCCTCAGCCTCCCAAGGTGCTGGGATTACAGGCATGAGGGACCAAGCTCAGCAATCTGAATTATTTATGCAGAATTTTTTTTTCTCTAGCTGGAAGAGCTGTTTATATGCACGTTTCTTTGGGGGCAACTCTTCTCCATTGTCACAGATTTTTTTTTTCCAAGCCATTCCTGGGGGATTCCTGGGAGCCATGTGGGAGAGGCGTGAGGAAGTGAGACCTTCACCCCGAGACAGGTCCTGACACACCCTCTGGTGCCTCTACTCAAGTGAGGTGAGAGGGGAAACTGGTGTATTTTTAGATGAAGTTTCCTTGGGAAATTGTTTCTATTTTATATTTTATCAGTAATCCCCTGGCTAATGTTTTAAACCAATATTTATAACACTGCCTCAGAGCTTTGGAATAAACAGATTTCCATAAAGAAAAGCTGCTTTAGAGTGCTACACTGTAAGAGGGGCCGGGCAAACAAGAAGGGACGGAGGAAAGACCACCAAGTGAGAGGCACAGGTGTCAGGACACACAGAGAGCCCGAAAACGAGGCAGAGGTGAGCGGGGACCAGCAGCACAGCGGCACTGACGCGCCAGGGACTTGGGCTCTGCTGGCCTCCTCCCTCGCGGCCAGCAGTGGCAGTGGTGGGAGTAGGCCTGGCTTGTCTGTGGTTGCCTTTGTTGCTTTAATTGAAAGTACTCAAGGCTATTTCTTGTCGCGTCATTTCTGACAGTGTCCGGTGGTCCCTACCCTGTAATGCCAGGAGGTTCCAGCCCCACCCTTCCCTCCCCACTCCCTCTTTCATCTCCCGGATCCTATTAGAGGATTGCTTTTATAGCTGATGAGCTGATGAAGTATGCATTTAGCCCTTTAACCGTAACTGAATTTCCCCTGGTGCACATCTGTATGAAGGGTGTGCACCAGGGCTGAGCCGTCTGCTGGGCGAATATGTCCCTCCCTGAGGCCCAGGACCACAACCCCTGAGTCACTCAAAGGAATCGTTCCCAGCCTTAAGGTCAGATGCGCTTTCTCCTTGTCCTCCATTATTTCTTTAAATTCCTGCCACATTTAAGTTTCTTTATATTTAAACTAAGACCTTTTATTTCTTAAACTTCTAATTGCTGTTCTTTTATTATTTTTGATAGAAGTTTGGCTGCTGTAACTGACTGGGAAGCTTAAAATAACAGACAATCATCTCTCACATTTATGGGGACTGGGAAGTCCAAGACCAAGTTGCCATCTGGGGAGGGCCTGTTCCTCACAGCGCCTTCCAGCTCAGGCCTCGTTTATAAGGGCACTCAAGCCTTCCACGACAACGGGTCCTCATGACTTACTCACCTCGGAAAGCCCCACCCCCAAGACCATCACATTGTGGGTGATGGCAGAGCATAAGGTGCCTTCCCCACATGCTCGGGTTGGCCCAGCGTCTCACGCTAGCAGCTACGTGGAATAGTTATTTTTTCTGGAGAACTCTGGGACCCCTCTGATGTCTTGGAGCACCCACACAGGCCGTTCACTGTGCACGCTGTGAGGCTGTCGTCTTGGAGCACCCACACAGGCCGTTCACTGTGCACGTGGTGAGGCTGTCCTCTGGGGAGTTCTGCTGTTGTATGGGTTCTGTCTGTGTCAATGTCCCAGCGGGAACGCAGGGCACACTAGCGTCATCCCCAGAGGGCTTGGTAAGGGGACTGTTTGCAGAGACATAGGCAGAGGGCTGGAAAACTACCAAAAAAGTGCAGTGTTCTGGACCTAATAATAGCAGAGCTATTCTCACCCTGGTCTGAAGGCAGGAGGGGAGGAGCAGTTAATGGATTCTGGAAGTCAGGTTGCACAGAGTCACCTTGAAAGATGCCATGACCTTCACCGAGGGCCAGACAGAGACTAAGATGACCCCATAGGAGAATAAGACCTAGACCTCATCCTCCTGCCTCCTGCCAGTCCCTGCCAGGGGTCGCCAATGGCAAAACAGGACTGGAAGCCAGAGGCCATGGAAGCCCATGGATGAAGTCCACAGGCCAGCCTCCCCGAGAGCAGCCTGGACGGTCCGCAGGAGACGTCTCCTGTCTTAGGCGTCCCACGCCGCGTGCTCCTGTTCAGCCCTGCCGAGGTGGAAGCTTGGAGTGGCTCACGGTGGATGCATTGACGCTGCAGACGCCAGCAAGTGCTACAAACCAGAGCTGGCCTTTAACTCAGACTGATGGAGAAGGTGTTAATAATGCAGATTAGACTTAAAAGTGTTGAAGCCATTGCACTGTGAACAGCAAAAAAATTGAAGAACTCTTCTGGCATTTAAAAACAATTACTCAGTTCAGCAGAGAAGTCACTGACAAACGAGATCACACTGACTGCTTTGTCGTTTTGGTTTTGTCTTACTCATTAATGCAAATAAGAACATTCACTAGCATCTGTGTCGGGCCTACCCTCCCTGGTCAAATACAGCTACAGTCTCCCTGCAGAAACGAGTTTTCCAGAAATGAGCCGATGTTTTCTGCGAGAATCAATTGGTCATATACAATTTACAAAAATGAGTACTGTATACTATATTTGTAAACTGTACACTGCAGATGCTTTATTTCACTGAAATTTATAATACACTTATCCATGTATATGCATGCATGCATTTTTGTTCCTGAGATCCAGCTGTGAAATGTTTACCAGCACATAAATTACCAGCACATGCTCTTTTTTGTTAACCTACTAGGTAAAATCTTCATTTATTACATCAAATTCTTGTAGTTTTTGTATTGCAATTATGCAGATATTGATTATCGCAGTATTACTGCAATTATACAGATACCACAATTTCAGATATTGATCAGCGTGTTCAGTTGGTTTCTAAGGAGGTTTACTTACCTCATGGTACACCTAGTTTGCATAGTTTGATTATATTTAACTCTTATGCTAATTGGGGGAAGTCATTGATTTATTGGACAGATGCACCTGTGGTCTTCCCTGAGCACATCCTGGCCAAGGATGCTGCCCCCAGGAGATTTGAGAAGTCCTGTAAGGATCATATCAGTATTTTCAAATACTTATAGAAAAGCCAGAGGGATTGACCCAGAATTACCAATATAAGCTTGACCCTGAGATAACAATGCCATTTTATGTTTGCATGCATAAAACCAATGCAAGAGGCTGATGACTCCAGATCCCTTATATAAGCCAATAAAAAGTAGTTTCATTTTTTATTTCATTTAAAAAAGTGTACCATTAACCTAAAGCCTGCTTGTAAAACCAGTTTGTTTCTGAAGCATTAGCTCAAAGCTCACTTGCATTTGGTGAGAAGTCCCTCACGTGTGGCTGCCCTGGCTGGGAGCTCTGAGCTCTGGGAGCCATTGGAACTGCTAATCCCACCAGTGCCGTCTGATTCCCTCTGCTCTAATGGAGGTCTTTTGCCGGGTATCCAGTGGCATTTTCTGGGCTTGGGAGTCAGTAATTCCCAGTGATCAAGTGTCTCTGCTCTGAAAATGCCTTTCTTTGTGATATGAAGCTGTCAGTGATGGAGACTGACCTTTTCATAAGTCAGTGAATTTTCTTTCTCTGAGTCATTTTAGAGAGTGAATCTGAACTCTCCAGTCTGTCCTAAGAAGACATTAATTGGAGCAGGCATGGAACCTTCAGCTTTCCCAGTCACCTGCCGGGTTACTTGGCTTAACCTGGGAATTAACCAGTTAATAAGGTTGTTGAAATGGAAAGAATCCAGGAGGCTGCAGTGTGAGGCTGATTTGCTGTCTTTATTAAGTGAGGAAATGAGAAATGGGAAGAATCCAGGAGGCTGCAGTGTGAGGCTGATTTGCTGTCTTTATTAAGTGAGGAAACGACAGCAAAGCACTTCTAGGCTTCTCACAGCTGAGCACACGAAGACTAAGCCCTCTTCCCGCCGTAGCCAGTGAGGAGAGGATCCCTCTTCCCAAGCCCCCTCAAGCAGTGGCTCCCGCTCACTGGAGGCTGGAGTTTCTAGGGCTTGTCCCTGTCCAGAGCTGCTGCCTCAGGTGTGAGGGTGACTGCCCAGCCCCCGCGCCACAGGCCCTCCTCTCACCCGGACCTCAGGACCAGTTGGTAGGCCCCAGGCTTCCACCTTCAGGGGCATGGGGACGCTGGCCCCTGTGTCCGCCGAGGACGTCCTGGCTCCTTTTGGGGGTCTCTCCTGTCAGGACAGGTTCCGTGGGGTTGGAGGGACTCAGCCTGTTTCTGTGCCATCCGCCTTTAACGGCCCAGAAACGTTAGTGACTGAGAGTAAAATAAGGTCGACTTCACAGTTTCTTTCTCCTCAGCAGTGTCTGGGGGCTGGTCCTCAGCCATGACCGCCGGCCCTGGTCTGTCATCATCCTGATAATTTTCCAGAACTCCACCTGCAGCCGTCATCCTGGGCGGCCCTGCTCCATCTGTACCCTCTGCCCTGCCCTGGTCCTGGACCTGCTCCGCTCTGCATTGCGCTCTGCGGGACCTGAGAGGTTTCTCAGCAGGAGCTGAATAGTGTTGAAAAGGCTTCCAGCCCGCACCTCAGTGGGGCACTTTTCTTCATGGGACATGCGGGGTTGTCTGGGCTGGAGAACACAGATTTGGGGGCACTCCGGAAGGTGGCAGAAGGTTGGCCCTACACGGGACCCAGTGGTCATCTCTGCAAATGCCGGGGCTGGGCTGTTCCTGCCTCAGAGGCCTCCCTCCTCCAGAGCAGGGGTGGAGAAATCAGCCTGGAGAGCCTCACGGCGCAGGAGGGATTTGCCGGGGCTGCCTCTGCATAGAGCCCCCTGCAAACAGAGGAGCTGTTTTATAGCACTGGATTTAGCTTGCAGGGTCCTGGAACACCTAGAGACACCAGAGGGGGAGACCGCAGATGAAGACCTCCTGGACGGCCGGGCAACCAGTGGCAGTCCCACGAGCCACGGGGCCGTGGCCAGCCTCCTTTCGGGACACAGTCCAGCCTGGAGGGAAGGAGGGGACAGGGGACCTTTCTGATTCTTCTTTTTCCTTTTCCTTTGGAATGAGAAAACAGCCTCTACGTTCTCCCATTCACGTCTGTCATCAGCTGAAGGAGCTCTTCCCCTTTTCCCCACTGACTCTGCACCCTCCACGGGGACAGCCTTGCTTTCGGGGCACAATGAAAGAAACATGACTGGAGACATTACCAAGACCTGTCACTTGCTACCTTCTCTTTCTGAAGCCGTAAACATGAGGAAAGACTCATCGTTAGGTTATTATGAATGATGGACCAGCTTATGTGTTTCAATGAAAGCTAGGCTATCACTGAGCTTGCTGGCTTAAAGCTGTGTGAGCCCACTGCTTAATTTTTGGGACACAAAAGGTCTAGAAATGTCGCCTGGCCTTTTCCAGTAGAGGTTGGCCCAAGAGCATGAATTTTCTGGCCAGCATTTCGTTTCTTTTTCCTTCACGTATGTTGCCAGCACTCAGGGCCTGTGGACCTGCCTTCTGTGCAGGGTGTCTTGTCTTTCGGGGCCGTGGCTGCTTCCGTAGGAGGCATGGCAGGTGCCAGCCTGGGGCTGAGCTCTCCCCACGTGGAGCTCAGGGCCTCAGAGGCCAAAGGCACATCCCTCAGAGGGCCTGGAAATGGAAGGCCGGGCTGGGTTTACGGCACACCCAGGCCGGGCTCTAGTGGCTCATGGTCACAGCCTGTCCACACAGCATGGCGCTCCAGAGAATGCTCAGAGGCTTAGGCTCAGACAGACATGAATTCACGTCTGATGGGCGGAGCACCCGTGTGACCATGGCAGGTTGCCTCCTTTTTATCTGCAAAGCTGTGGCAATGATCCCCACCTCCAAGGACTCCAGCGAGGCACATGTGAGACGCTGCATGGGAAGAGCGTCCTGCAAACCCGGCCAGATGGCAGCTGCACCGTCCCTCTGCCAGGTGTCCCTGGAGATGCCTGCCTACCCAGCTCTGTTTCTGTTCACATCTCAGTGTGACAAGCAGCCTGGAAGGGCCATGCTCGAAAGGCTTGGGCCAGGAGCTCTTACCTGGTGAGCACAGACTGCGGCTTCCCAGACACCAACAGGGGAGGGGACAGATGTTGCGCCATGCTACGCCATTGACTTTTCTGCAACTGATACGATGGGAATAATACTCCACTTCAGTTCACAGGGTGGGGGCAATAGTGAGTGAGAGCTGGACAAGCCAGGGAATATTGAGAGACCAAAGACACCTGTTGTGGATTTCCTGGGCCATGAGAGCCGCCTCTTGGACGTGCAGGGTTGACGTAGTCAGCCACTCTTCTGAAACAGCGGCCTGGGGACCAGGCAGCCACGGTGAACCCTGGTACATCACAGAGGGTGCTGACATGGGCTGTACTGTGGGAGCTGCTGTGTAATCATTGCACACTGGGCAGTGGTGTTTGGCATTCCCTGTGATTACGTTCAGCCACCTAGACAGAACCCCAAATCACGGTGGGTGAAACAAGATGGAGCGCATTTTCTTCCATGCACAGGAAGCATGGCAGCTGGCACTTACAGCCAGCGTGAAGCTCCCAGGGGCTCCAGAGCCAGGAGCTCTCTGCTCCTGGGCCTCACATCCCTGCTCATGGCTTCCATGCTCCCTGCCAGCGTGGCTGCTGGAACTCCAGCCTTCTCATCACAATGCGTACAGGGAGGCTTCCAGAAGCTCTGGGTCAGTATTCCGGCGTGCATGTCCTCCACCCTAACGCACTCACCCACATGCGCCGAGCAAAGTTGGAGCGGGTGGAGAAGGGCCTGGCGGTGCAGAGGCCCCAGGATTTCTGGACAGGGCAGCTGTGGCTGCAGCAGGGAGGTGCAGTGCTGCGGGGAGGCGGTTGACAGCTGTCGCCTTTTGCCACTTCTGAGCCCAGCCACCAAATTGGTCCACGTCTCTTAGAAAATTCTGTGACATGGCAGATTCATTGACACTCCTGGTCATAACTGCTTCCCTTCTCCCACTAGACCACCTTCCCTCCCCAGCCCCCTTTTGGTAGCACAAATACAGCTGCTGTGTGTATTGGATCCAGCAGGCGTGGATCCAATTAAACCTACACTATTTGTTTCACTTTTCTTCAGAAAGAGCCTATGAAATATGAGTTTCGGGGGCAAAGTTTTTATCATCAGAGCTGTTCCTTTCCAGCAGACCTTTCAGTTCTCAGCAGCAGCCCTTCTTTCTGGGGTAGGAACTGAGCTGGTCTGTGGGATGCCCCGCCTCGTTCCAAATGGGGTCCATCCCTGAGACAAAGGCACATGATACAAAGCAAAGCCGCACAAACCTGCGGGAATCAGAGTGAGGGAGATGGAGGTGGAACAGCCACGCGGCCCGAGGAAGCAGCTACAGAATGAAGTCTGTTAGTTCCCATTCAGGCACCAGAGTGGGCCACACATTTGCTGGTAGCTTCTATCGACCAGTGCAAAAAGGCGACCGAGGTCTGTGATGTCCCAGAGTGAACATGACAGAGCGCAGGGGACACTCGGGCCTGAGCCCCCTGCCACCAAGGAAGAGGACCTTGAGGAAGGCATGGGTGCCACCTGTCCACTGCACACACAGCCCTTCTAACGAACACGGACCCTCACGGGGCCCGGCGGGGCTCAGACACCGATTCTAACACAGACCCTCACGGGCCCCCGCGGGGCTCAGACACCGATTCCAACACGGACCCTCACGGGCCCCGCGGGGCTCAGACACCGATTCCAACACGGACCCTCACGGGGCCCGGCGGGGCTCAGACACCGATTCTAACACAGACCCTCACGGGGCCCGGCGGGGCTCAGACACCGATTCTCACACGGACCCTCACGGGCCCCGGCGGGGCTCAGACACCGAGGCTGACACACTGCCCTGTGCACACCTGCCTGGAGCCGGTGGCGGGACCCAGGGAGAGACAGCGTGTCCTCCAGCGTCTCCCCAGCTCCTCCGTGGTCAGTGGAGAGTCCATGGGAACGTTTGAGGCTTTGATCCTTGGCAAGAATATTTTTTTTTTGAGATGGAGTCTCACTCTGTCGCCCAGGCTGGAGTGCAGAGTGGTGTGATCTCGGCTCACTGCAAGCTCCGCCTCCCAGGTTCACGCCATTCTCCTGCCTCAGCCTCCCGAGTAGCAGGGACTACAGGCGCCCGCCACCACGCCTGGCTAATTTTTTGTATTTTTAGTACAGACAGGGTTTCACTGTGTTAGCCAGGATGGTCTCAATCTCCTGACCTCGTGATCCACCCTCCTCGGCCTCCCAAAGTGCTGGGATTACAGGCGTGAGCCCCCGCGCCCGGCCGGCAAGAATCCTGCGTGCGGATGTTAAACCAGGGGCCAAATGCAGCCAGGCTTGCACAGTGGGCTTGTCTTCAGCAAGATGGGGGCTGCCTCAGAATCACCAGGAACGTTCGATAAAAATGGAGACTTCCGGAACCTGCCCTAACCTACTGAACAGTATCGTTGCTGGTGGGTGCCCTGCAGTCTGCATTTGGCAAACTGGCATAGCGAGTCCCATGCCGTGTCGAGCCTGAGCCCCACGTTTCATAAGGGATTAGGGTCACTGGAGCTCACGAGGCCGCACCTGTTCCTGGCTGGGTGCGCTTGGGCACTTTGCCCGTCTACGCCTGGAACTTCTCTGGTGTAAACTGGAATAATATCTCCTTTACATGGCACAGAACTAAAGATTCTTTGAGTTCCAGGTAATAAAAACCAAGGCCAGACTAAATCAGACAAAATGACATTTAAAACATAATAAAGACAGGATTGCAGCTGACAGTGGATCTAGAGATCCACAGTTCACTGGGCCCCCACCCTGCCTGTCGCTCAGAAGTCTCCCCTCTGTGTGGCTTCACTCGCAGGCCGCTCCTCTGCACGGAGCAGCAGGGTGGCCGCCATCAGCCTGGTCTCATCTGCCCTCAGGGCTGATGGTCCTGGACAAACAGCTGTCTCTCTGTTCATCAAACTTGAGTTCATAGCCTTCCAGAGGTGGCTGCAAAGCAGGCGGTGTGCTCACCTGGGCCGATCACACCTCTGAGGGACCGAGCGCTCTGAGGACGGTGCCCCAGGTCACACCCGTGAGGGGCACACATCCCCTGGGCTTCAGAGCAACGCAGCTGTGTCCTCTCCACAAGGTGAGTTTGAGGAATCTGTGCACATGGGAAACACAGCCTGCGTTTCTGAGAACAAGGGCTTTTCAGGTTCCCTCCCTCTAGGCCCTCCAGGCCTGGGGGGACAGGTCCTGGTGCCACATTCATAGAACTACACGGCCCTGGCTCCTTCCAGGACCCAGAGGCCTGGACAGGAAGTGCTGGAGCAAAAGCGCTCCCATTCACACCAGATTCCACCAGCTCCTCAGGGGCTTCCGTCCCAGCCGGGGCGGGGGGCGGACACCTGAGAGGAGAGGCAGAGACCTCCCAGGAGGGTGGTGCGTGGCCCCTCCCTACAGCCCATGGGACGACCGCACGGGAAGCCGCTGGAGAGCCGCCACTGAGCAACGTGTTTTCCGTGAAATAAAACTAAAAGGCTCCTGGTCTCTGTTTACCAGGTAGATAAAGAAATCATAGTCATCAAAAGTAGCAAAGTGTTCATTAAACTTGATACAAAGTATATATTTAGGTGTCTGAATGTTTCCTGATGGAAGCATTTTCAAGGGCATTTGCCTCAGCTATGGGAACCAAACATTTACATGAAGGAAGGTTTAGAGGTGAACGTCCACTGCGGAGGTCGGAGAAGCACTCAGGTCAGCGGGCAGAGCGGCTAGTCGGTGGGCCGAGCTCTCTGCTACCCCCGCAGGAGTGTCCCGACGCCATCCCAGAAGCAGCACCTGTGGGCCACGGCGTTTGCTTAGAGCCTGGACTGAGGCTGCCTGGACGGGGCCCCTCACCCGGCCAGAGTTAGGGGTGCCGCTGCCACCCCCATGGACCCGCTTCGGGCTGCTCAGTCCTTGTTCATTTGCATCCATCTTGGTTTTTAGGAAGGCAAGTTTCTCAGGAGCTCAGAAAATTAATTTCGTAGTGATTAGGCTATCCCCAGAGTAACACGTTCCAACTGTCACCAGCACGGACTTCTCATGAAGCCTGGGACCATTTGCAAGGACTCCCGGGTGTGTGTGTGTGTGTGTGTGTGTGTGTGTGTGTGTGTGTGTTTTCCTGTGTCCTCTGAGTAGACACCGCTATGAATGTAGACTTGAGGTTTCTTGGCAAACATGTGTCCTCACTTATGTGGCTGAGGATTCTTCCCCGACTCAGGATGCAAGTGCCAGGGGACCCGAGTCTCCGGGGAAAGCTGGGTGCATGCACGGTTCTTTGATCCGTCATTTGAATAATTAGCTCTTAATTAGCTGTCTGAGTATGATCATCAGCTTGAATGTAAGTTTCTTTAGAGGACACTGTGCTTTCCCATCCTGGTAAGTGGCGATGATGGGTTTCTGGGTATGAGGTTAATTTGAGGAGGAATTCTCACCTCCTAGAGCCTGGCAGACAGCAGTCATGTGGCGCGTTAGCCAATTACCGGGAAAGCTTCCTGTGCCCGGACGGAATCTGCTTCCAGGAGCTGGGGGAGAGGAGGCTGCACATTGCTCCTGGTCACTGCCGGCGCCTTCTGTATCCTCTGACCCACCCTCCTACGGGAGGGAACGTCTCCGCTGGGGAAGACGACCGTGTGGGCTCATCTCCAGCCACTGTGGTGACTATTGTCGTCCCCTTCACTCCGGATGCTCTTTCCCCCATGGCCAGATGCCAGCAGGGTTTGTCCCCAGGACCCTGCAGGAGATCCCCTCTTCATCATCCTGGGAGTGTGACGTGGTCTGCTAAGCAAAGCTCCTTCCCTGCAGCAGGTGAGTCCTAGCTCAGAGGACACGGACGGTGATTTTCCAACTGTCGTGCTCAGAACAAACTTTCACATCCAAGAAATGTTGCAGACATCCTAGAAAGGATGAATCAAACCCACAGGCCCTCAGGCCCCCATGCAACACTGTGCTGCCTTGGCACAGAAATATTTACAGCAGAGTTCCCGTGTGAGCCTGCAGACACAGCAACCATTTTTTATAACAGTTCTCCAAAGTCTCTCCTCTTGAAAACAGAGCAAGTTGCACCCTGGTCTCCGTATCACATCGGCCTGCAGTTTCACACGATCTGCTTGGTTCGGAGTGCTGTCTTTCAGACCTGGCTGTGGCCACATGCTCCTCACAGCTTGCACATCCCTCAGTCTCGGCACCACGCCACACGGGAGGGGTTCCACCACGTCTCTGAGCTTAGGGTGGCCGGTGGTGCCCAGGGGAGGGGGAAGCCCGTGGCAGGCGTGGGATGGATTTGCTGAGTGACTCTAACCACTCCTTATGGAATGAGCACCACCTCGCCAGGGGCCTTGTCCTTGCCATCCTGGGGCCACACGTGTGGCTGCAAGGTCCCTCTGGCAAACCTCCTTTCCCTCTGGGGCTGGTTGAGGACTCCAGGGGGCCAGCCTGGAGACCAAGGCCGTGCTGTGTGGTCAGCAGACCAGTGAGGAGTCAGCAGACCAGTGAGGGGTCAGCGTTCTGCTGTGGCTGCCTGGACTCCTCTTCCTCTCAAGACAGCAGTGTCTGGGGACTGCCAAAACCTCTGCAGGGACCAGCAGCACAGGATCACAGAATTCCACACTTCCTGCTAAATCGGGGTCTCCTTTTCATCCGTCACATCTCCCTTCCCGACTGCACCATCAACATCAGTTCCTCATCTCCACAGCCACCAAGGGCAGCTCAGCTCAAGCTCTAGGACTGGCCACCCCTCTTCCTGGACTGTGATGATGGAGAGAGGCCCCAGTCCCAGGCAGCCACGAGGACGGCGCCTGTCCAGACACACAAAGCAAGGGCCCCGCAGGAGAAGCAAGCCTCCCTCACTCCAGATGCCTCGCCATGAAGCCGTACACCCACCCAGCCGACCTGCACGCGAGAGCTGCTCATTCGTTTTTCGGCTCGGCAGCTGCACGACCTTGTGGGTTCCTGAGCTGCTGGCTGGGAAGCTGAGGTTGGACTCAGACAGGCAGGAGGCACGCAGGCCCCGGAGTGAGGCGCCACCGTGGCTCAGGGCAGAGAATGCTGATCTGAGGAGGGAACATCTAAACTAAGGCTTGGAGGGTGGGTGGTCGGGGGCGAGGGAGGAGTGTGCCCCAGCCTCCTATCTGACCTGAACGTGCCCATTTCCATCTTGGCAGGTGCTGAGGCAGTGATGCTGCCGGGCGGTTCCACGGCCTCTCTCCCCAGGGCTCTGAGTGTCAGGTGGGGGTCCAGGCTGAGGCTCAAGTCAGGTCTGCTCTGTGTGCCCCTCACTCTGCTGAGCTCCAGGCATGTTTTTCCTGAAGCCGATTCCCTGGAACACATTGCAGGGCCTGCGGACATCCACCAGCGTCCACGTGGTCAAAGCCCACCTTAGTGGGGTGGAGAAAAATGTTCCTTCCATGGCCATCAGGAGCAGGGCTGACCATCGCAGGGAGGGCTCACATCTGCCCAGTCTCTGCCAGCGAGTCTCCTCTCAGATCCCACGTGGGCACTCCCTCCCCACCCCTTCGTCTCTAAGATTAAATCCAGGTGCCTTGAGCCCCAGTCCCCATGTTCCCCTCAAACCCCTGTTCCTCCCCACAGAGACACATGGCTCCAGCTCCACACCCGAGCACCTGCTGTTTACGGTTTGTGCTGACCGGATGCTGTTTCTCCTTCCATCTCCACCTGCAAATGTTCTGCTGACCCTCAGGCCGGTTTGAAGACCAGCACAGCCCATGTGAGCAGGGCACAGGGCCCCATCCTGAGTGGCTGGCCTGTCCGGGGGAGGAAGTTCCACCCCACACCCACCCCACCACCACAGGATGTGCCCAGAAGGCGGAGGGACTGGCCACTGTGGGGGCTCCCATGTCCAGGCCGGGCCTCCTCAGCATAAAATCAGCTGACAGCAGCCTCAACGCGCCACTGCCTGAGAGGACACCGCCTCTCCAAACCTGGGAAGAAGGCAGCCACGCCCTGGGGAGGGAACAGGTGGAGGTGGGTGCCAGGACTAGCCAGGACTTCCTCCCAAATATTTAGAAACTTGATTGCAATGAAAAGATAGCATCACTGAATTAAAGACGTCATTTATTATGGAGCTGAGATTTGGTTTGCCCAGCAGCTTAAAACAATGTCACTCACAGCCTTGTGGCACCTTGGGACGGGCAGGTGCCTACACAATTATTTACTTAAGAACATACCTTCCTTTAAAATAACCAATGTTGTACTTAGATAAATGTATTTACATGGGAGACTTTCTGTCACAGATTTGATGTCTCGTGATCATTTCTCTTAGTATACATTAAAAGTTAATTATTGTCAGAAAAAGTTATCTGAAACCTGGAACTAAGTCCCTAAAGTGGGCAGGGCTGGGGGGAAGGTTCCCGAGACCTGGGCTGGTTCCCAAGACCTGGGCTGCGGGGGACTTAGTTCACCTCCCAGTTTGCTGTTCAAAGGTTCCAGACTCAGAGACGTGTCCCATTATCTGGATTTTAGCCGAAGGCAGATGCAGTGATCTCTGTCCAGGGAGACAGATAATCCACAGATTTCAGGCCGGCTGGACATTAACCAGTCCATAACCCAGAGGTCTTATCTCAGCCTTTCTTGTCAAATTGCCTGTAAACACCTCTTCTGTGAAGTGTGCTCAGCAGCCAGTCACAGCGTCTGCCATAACATCGCCCCTCATTTGTTAATGAATTCAATGAAATCTTCGACGTGTGCCCATTTTCCATTTGCTGGAGAATCACGATTTTACCCTTTTGAAAATTATACGTTAGCAACCATAAACTGTTCTCTAAGTACATACAGGCAGCAGCTTAAAATCCTCCTGTGGGCTAAAGGCTGGGCAGTCCTATCAGGGCTGTGATGGGGGGAGGTGGCTGGTTTGTGGAGGAACTTCCCCTCCCTCCCTCCCTCCTTCCTTCTTTCCTTCCCTCTCTTCTTCCCCCTTCCCTCCCTCCTTCCCTCCCTCCCTCCTTCCCTCCCTCCCTCCTTCCCTCCCTTCCTCCTTCCCTCCCTCCCTCCTCCCTTCCTCCTTCCTATTCTCTGTCCCTCCGTCCTTCCCTCCCTCCCTCCTTCCCTCCCTTCCTCCCTCTCTCCCTCTTTCCCTCCTTCCTTATGTGAGACATGTGAGAGTCTCACCCCAGCCTTGGGGGACACAGCAGGACGCAGGCAGTGGGTGTAGTGGCCACTGGGTGGGCTGGAGGGGGCTGCTCAGAGGAAGTCTCTCTGAGTGCTTGGGGAATGAAAGGCCTTTAATGAGTAGAGACCGGAAAGGAGCAAATGCTTGTGTGTTTCTCAAGAAAACAGTGTGAGGGAAGGCACAGAAGCAGCTGGAGGAACAGGAACAGCTGGGGAAAGGGCACGCGTGGCCAGACAAGGAGGTCTAGAAGAGGCAGTGCCCTCACTCTCTGCACAGACCTCGTGCTGGGGATGGATGGAGACCAAGAGTCTGACCTTCTAGTGGGGGGTGTTTGAAAGCCCCTTAGGGCCCTGCCACCTGTGGTTTGGTGTTGACAACACCTGCTCTTCCCTGGGGGATCCGTGGACCTCCCTGCATGGTGCATGTGGCAGGGCCCTGTGGCTCCAGAAAATTCCTGGCCACCGTTGGGGTGCGGGGCAGGGTCAGTGTGCCCGGGTCCATGCCAGGCCACCGCTGCCCCCCAGGCTCACGACAGGACGGCGAGTGCTCCACACAGGTGGGGTGCCCTAGTTCTGTGCAGGTGCACGTCCGAGTGTGGCCTCTGAATCAATTCCCTGAATCAGCCCCACAATGGGGATGTCTGTGTAGACACAGCCCCTCGTTCCCAGCCCTACCAGCAACCTGAAAGGAGCCGTGTTCCTCGAGCCTATAAAATTAACCCCTTCAGCTGGCTGCTTACCCTACAGTGTCTCTGGTGAACCCACAAGGCCCAGCCCTTCCCAACTGGCCAGGACCTGACCCAGGAGCTGGTCTGCGGGAAGGCGTGGGCTTAGAAGGAAGTGGGGTGTGGGGCTCACGGCCCCTTCCTGAGGCTGCAGCTGCCCTGGGGAGGCCCCTGTGCTGAGACATCTTGGAGTGAGGGTGTCCGCTGAGAAGAGGGCTTAGCCGAGGCCCCTGGGTGGAGGTTCCTGGTGTTCACCCACCCTCCCTTCCTCCCGAGACCTGGCCGGCTGGCGTCCCCTTTGGTGCCGGTTGGAGGCTCTGCCTGCAGGCTGGGCTCCTCCCCAGTGGGAGCTGGTGTTCCTGGTATCACAAGAGCGTCTCCTGCTTCCTCTTCTTGCACAGGCAGGACCGTCAGGCCAGCCTCAGAGCCCTTTTCTTCTCCCAGCTCCCCCAGAAGTTGCCCCCTAATCACCCCTTCCAAGGACATTTCCCTTATTTTCCACTCAAGACAGCGCGAGGCCATCCCTCCTGCCCCCGTGTCAGAGCCCCCGAGGCCCCCAAGGCAGACACGAAGCTCATCCCGAGAGGGACCTCGTGAGGGCTGCGGTGGCCCAGCGGGAGGTGCTGCGTCCTGACCACACACATCACAAGCTCCAAGTCAGCACCTGTGTGAGGAACAGGCTCTATTCACGTCTCTCAACGTGGAGAATGAGCTTCTACCGTGCTAGGAGCTTCCTTGCCTGCTGTGCACTTTCGTCTGATCAGCAGCCAGATGCTTTTACAGTGTTCCCACAAGGACAGCGAGCACCAGGACCCCACCTCTCGATTGTATTGTGTCCAGTTCTACTGCGACTCCAGGATAGCCCCTGAGAAAGGAGAACACAAACACACAGAAAGGGAACATCAGCTCTGCCCTCCCTGAGCGCCTTGTCTAAGTCTGAGGGTGGTGCCACCTCTGATGGATGCTGAGGTATGGAGCCTCTGTCATCTATGACCAGACATATGGGGCAGGCAGAGATACACAAAGGCCTGCAATGGGAGCAAACACAGGCTCTGCACAGGAGCCTCCGGTGGCCTCGGGGCCAAACGTCACTGTGTCCAGCGGGTGGGGGAGCTCCAGGCTGCCGGCAGCCGGCCGTCCTACACGTCAGGCTAGAGGAGCACCCGTGGCTTCTCTGGCTGGGCCTGAGGTGGGAGTGATGTGGGGAGGGTGGTGGTAAACAATCAGAGAAACTGGCAGTGTGGACCAAGTCCTGACCTCGGGGCAGCTGCTGCAGAGGCCCTGGCCAGAGTCCCATGGGCATCCTCAGTCCGGCTGGGGTTGGGGTGTCCCTGGAGGGTCCGTGTCCCTGGAGGGTCCGTGTCCCTGGTGGATCCGTCTCCTGGAGGGTCCATGTCCCTGGAGGGTCCATGTCCCTGGTGGATCCGTCTCCTGGAGGGTCCGTGTCCCTGGTGGATCCGTGTCCCTAGTAGATCCGTCTCCTGGAGGGTCCGTGTCCCTGGCGGATCCGTCTCTGACCGCGCGTGCTCTTCACCATGGAAGGAGGTGCTGGTAGCCAAGCCGCCCTCCCCAAGTGGGCGTCCACTTTGAGGAAACGCGTGTGTGAGTCCCCTTGTTGGCTGGGTGTCTCCGTCTAAAGGGACAGCTGGAACTCCCCACAGTACAAGGTCTCACCAGGGCCCCTCAGATCCCACACAGCTGCAGGGATGTCCCTGCTGCCCGAGGTCTGGTGAGAGGCTTGATGGAGGATTCTGCCAACCCCCACCTCAAAACCCTCACAGCAGCTGCATTTTGAGGTTTTGTTCAATTTTATTTGCAGGTCTTCAAAATGAAAAAAATTTATATGTACCAGGCCAGGTGTGGTGGTGGCTCATGCCTGTAATCCCGGCAGTTTTGGAGGTCAAGGTGGGCAGATTGTTGAACCCAGGTCTTTATGGCCAGCCTGGGCAGCGTAGTGAGACCTCACCTGTACAAAAAATTAAAACGTAGCGAGACACGGTGGCAGGATCGCTTGCGCCCGAGAGGTCAAGGCCGCAGTGAGATGTGATCGCACCACTGCACTCCAGCCTGGGTGACAAAGTGAGTCATTTCTCTCTCTCTCTATCTATATATATAATCCAGTGAATCTAAAGCATTTCCACGTTAAAAGTCACAAGGATCATTTCAAAGGAAAAATGGACCTGAGCTACTCTCTGCCTCAGCTCAAGACCCTGCTGGGGAAATCGTTAGGTGGAGCCTTTGCTGGAAACAGCACCATCAGGTCCGCCTGTGCCCCAGCGCCCGGGGAACACAGGCATCCCTCCCCTCCGGAGGGCCTCCCCAGGCGGTAGAGACCAGTGCATTAGGCAGAGGCCTCGGTCCTGCCCGGATCTGCCATCTCCTCGTTGTGTGGGTTCCAACCTTGCTTTAATAGCTCCCACACCATTACCAGGAAATGGATCCACTTACTCTGTGCGGATGAGAATTCCATTAATGTTCGCTCTGACCTTTGCTAATCCCAGCGTCATTCGCAGTGCCTCCATCTCAAAATCTCCTTAATGCCAAAGGCGGTAATGGGTGTCTGCTGTGCCTGCCTAATGAGCTGTAAAATGAACCAGTGGGTGATTTGTTTCTTGCCGTCAAGACCCTGGTTAAGTGACGGCCAGGACGGTGGAAGGAAGGCCGGGGGTCCTGTCCCCCAGACGGCACTCCAGACATCAGGCTCTCGGATCACAATTGATTCAAAGGTAAAAACACGTTCATGCACACACCTGGTTTTCCATTCTCTTAACATTTTTTTCTCCATAATTAGTTTCTCCAGCATCATCTTGGGAGAATGTTGACGTCACTGATCTTGGTTTCTCGGATGGTGATGAATCTGGGCAGGGGGCTGGAGTGGAACCTGCCAGCCCCTCCTCAGCCCGGGCGCCCGACCTCAGCTCCCTCCAGCCCTGGACTCTGTTTTCTTCCAAGACTGGGCCCTGCTTCCCTGCACCACGGTCCGCCTGGATCCTGCACACCCAGCCCGGTGGCTCCTGCCCACTCAGCGGGGCCCTGACGCCCTACATCTCCTCTGTGAGCAAAAGCTCTCTTGTTGTTAGAGAGACTTGCGGAAGCCACACACCCATAGACCGTTACTTCTACACATTCTTTTTATTTCACACAGATCTGCATCCCTTGAAGTACTCACGGGGACGTATTCCGCATGGTTTCCATCTTAGTGCACATAGAACACGGTTTTAACTTACAATCGGCACTGTCTTCTCAAGATCTGTCACTTTGAAAACGTCATTGCCAATAATTGTACATATTGCGTTAATTTCCTAAATCACTATTCACCATCCATCCTTCAAATGCTGAAAACACTCTCTTGATTCCCAATTTAAATACTTTTACAGGCAATACCACAAATGCCTTTAGAAATGGAAGTTTGTCTTCTTCTTGTTATTTTTGTCTCTTGTTTCTTCCATCGAATAATGGCCTTGTCGAGTTGGTGAGAGTGAATCACTTGTGAGTCTTGATTTCCAAAGAGGCTGAGCAGATTTACAAGGCCACAAACACCTACTTCAGATGAGACCTTTGGGGTCTCTCAGGAGGGGCGAGAGACAGAGCCGGTGACTCGCTGGGCGCTGACAGGACCCGCAAGGGTTGGTTCGTCAGTATCCACCACCCCCTTCCTCTCGCTGATGCTGCTCTGAATCTGACACTGTGGATTGGTTCGGCTGCTGTAGGATTTTCTACAAACGGAACATGGACAGGTCCTCTTTGGGTCCGCCCTTTGGTCTCAGCATCATGGCTGAGACAAGTCCTGTCGTAGCTATGTCAGAGTGGCGGGGTCCTCACTTCTCACTCCTGTCCAGATTCTCCTGTGTGTACCCCACAGGCTGTGCACCCGCTCTGCCATCAGTGGGCATCTGGGGCGCATGGCAGACCATGTGCATGTCGGCCATGTGAGCCCATGTCCTGGTGTCCACCCCATGCAGCCTGTCCCGGGGGTGGCCTGAGGCTGCCTTGCCTCCCCTGGGCTGAGGCTGGGACACCTGTGGCCTGTCTTACCCTTTTGCTGGCGTCCTCTGGGGAGTATCCAGAAGTGAGGGGCCCCACGGAGAGGCGCATGCAGCAGGAACCCCAGGCAGTGCCGGCAGCCCCAGGAGAGAATCCCACCAGCCGCCATGCGAGTGAGCTTGGAGACCACGCAGTCGGGAGAGGCCGCCCGGCCACAGAAAAAAGTCGTCCTGTTGTTCAGGATCCAGGCCAGGGTCATCTGCTGAGCAGCAACAGACAAGGAAAACCGCCGTTACGGGCACTGCTGCCATCTCGCAATTTACATAAAGTCTCAGCTCTGTGCGTGGGACAGCAGCGTTTGAAGCTGTCCCCATCAAGGGCCTGTACAACCACCTCCTTCACAGTTAGGGGTTGGCCGTCCTGAGGCTGCCCGACCCCCTCCCGGCTCCCCGACCCCCTCCCGGCTCCCCGACCCCCTCCCGGCTCCCCGACCCCCCTCCCGGCTCCCCTTGTCTGGGAAGCAGCTCTCTCCAGTGTAGCCACTCAACACGGCTGGTTTCATTGCAGCAGCGCACGCCCACCTGTGGCCACCCCGGCCTCCTCCCCGACACCCACACGGAAGGCCGTGTCCCCTCCCCTCCGTGTCCTGGGCGCAAAGGGCGCCCGGAGTGCCTGCGTGTGGACGCACAAGCCCAGGGCCACGGCGCTGCAGGGCAGCCCTTTTCTCACTGCAAGCCTGCACCCTTCTCTCACTGCTTTCCAGGGGGAGCTCTCTCAGGTCCAGAGCCCCACGGCTCACACCTCCTCTCCTGCCTCTGGCTTCCTGTCTTCAGGAGGATATTTCAAGTTCCAAGAAGGTACTCAGTAACTTCTTTGACTAATATTATGTTGAGAAATGATCATTTTACTTTCAGGTGCTTTTTAAAAGCTACATTCACAGAAATTTTAAAAAATCTCAATATGCGGTCATCTGCGTTTTCTGCTGGGGCACGCTTCAGTTCTGTGTTGGACACTGCGGAGAGTAGAGGGCTGGGCACAGCATCTGCACGGAGCCGGGCGCAGCACCTGCACGTGCAGACAGGGGAGGGCCCCTGGAGGGCTCAGCTCCCGCGTGAGGGTCCAGCCTGGACACAAGGTTGAGACGCACATGGGGACAAGTGGGAGGTATTGGGTGGGGCACAGGGGCTAGGAGGCCAAGGGCTTGCTCCTGGAATTCTATACAGGCCTGCAAACCCTGCTCAGTGGAACACCACACCAGACACAGTTCTGGGGCTGGAGGAGCCGCAGCCACCCCGGGACCCCCACCATCCTGGCATCAAGGGCCTCAGACTCTGCTCTCTGTAAGCTCCCTCTGGAGGGAGCAGAGCCAGTGAGATCTGGAGAACAGAGGGTACCTGGGCCCTTCCTGGAGAGTGGGGGACACTTCGTGTTCGTGGGAACGTCCAGCTGCCATGAGGGTCCCTGGGGCAAGCTGGAGGTACGTGCGGAGAAGGGGGCCAGCTCCTCTCAGGCAGCCCACTCCAGCCTATCTGTGACACTGGCTTCACGAGGGGAGTGAGGAGAGGGATGCGGGCCCTTAGCAAACCAGGAAGCCTGAAAAACACCTATTGACAAGAGCGGGTCAGAGGAGCTGGGGAGACGGCCCAGGTCAGCCCAGTTCAGAGGGAGAGGGCCCAGGTCAGCCCAGTTCGGGGGGAGAGGGCCCAGGTCAGCCCAGTGCGGGGGGAGAGGGCCCAGGTCAGCCCAGTGCGGGGGGAGAGGGCCCAGGTCAGCCCAGTGCGGGGGGAGAGGGCCCAGGTCAGCCCAGTCCGGGGGGAGAGGGCCCAGGTCAGCCCAGTGCGGGGGGAGAGGGCCCAGGTCAGCCCAGTGCGGGGGGAGAGGGCCCAGGTCAGCCCAGTGCGGGGGGAGAGGGCCCAGGTCAGCCCAGTGCGGGGGGAGAGGGCCCAGGTCAGCCCAGTCCGGGGGGAGAGGGCCCAGGTCAGCCCAGTCCGGGGGGAGAGGGCCCAGGTCAGCCCAGTCCGGGGAGAGAGGGCCCAGGTCAGCCCAGTCCGGGGGGAGAGGGCCCAGGTCAGCCCAGTGCGGAGGGAGAGGGCCCAGGTCAGCCCAGTGCGGAGGGAGAGGGCCCAGGTCAGCCCAGTCCAGCTGAGGCTCTCGGAGGACAGGACCCGCCCCGCGCTGCCAGTGCCGAAGCTTGGGTTCTCTGAGGACTGCGAGGGGGTCTCAGCACTGTGTCCACAGATGGGGCAGGGACCTCCGCAGGGAACCTTCTCTCGGCTGGGCCAGCCCACCCCAGGGGCTGTAGACGAGGGAGTTAATGAACACGGGATGGGTTGAGCCGCCTGGTTTGCCCACAGAGGGGCGAGGAAGGGAGTGGGGAGTCTGCTGTGAGCGGAGAGAGGACAGCCTGAGGCCTCAGGAACGCTGGCTGCCTGCCTGCAGCGGGAGCTAACGGGGCGTCTGTCGGGAAGGGGCACGGCCACAGGATTTAGGGGCAGTTTGGACACACTGGTCCGGTGAGCTTGATTTCAGATTCCGGGATCTGGTTTCGGAGTGGAGTTGTGGACTCTCCAGGACCCATCGCTGAGGAGCAGGAGGTTCTCCAGGGGCCATGGGGCCCGGGGCTCTGAGGGAGGCTCTGCACTCCCAGCATGAGGTCACCACAGGGCTAGGCCAGGGCCCAGACACAGCAAGCCACCAAGAGGAGGCCGGCCGGCGTGGAAGCCTCGCAGAGGGTGAATTCCAAAGAGGGCCCCTCCTGCTCTGAGACCCACACTCCCGAGCCACACTCAGCAGGTGACGTGCAACAAGACCCTTAGGGTTAGGGTTAGGGTTAGGGTTAGGGACCCCAGGCTCCATGCATGCCAGGGAGAGGCAGCGGTGTGCGAGGGCCTCCTGGTGCCTGGCAGACCAGGAGTGAATTTTGGCTGTCACCTTCTCTGAGTTACTCCAGTGTAGAGAGGCAAGGCCTGGGTCCAGGGTTGTCTCAGTCTCAGTGCAGCCCCTCAGAATGGGGGGCCCATGCCTAGCACCCTGGGTGGGGAGGAGCAGGCAGCTAGCTGGAGCTTCTGGCCCTTTTAAAAGAGGCCCCATTCCCTGGGCCTCGAGGGAGTGGCTGTGCACATTCAGACATGCACTGACCCATGTACACACACACATACACGCACACGTGTATGCACACTCACACGTATATTTGTACATACACATGTGCATACATCCACATGTACAGGTACACACAGGTATGCACGAAGGAGGTTCCCAAACCCTTTCTGCACCCCTTAGCTGCCTTCCAAAGGGACACGTCCTGATTTCCCTGTGGTGGGACACTGAGCATGCCCAGCTTCTGCGGGGCCAGGTGACGCACACGAACTCAGGGTCTGCTGAGGCAGGTGCATTGGCGACGGTGGACAGCAGAGAAGTGGGATGCCTAGCGGCAGGGGCTCTGCCCTCACAGCTCCTCTGCCAGGCAGGGACCAGGTCCCGCTGTCAACCAAGGGAAGCCAGGCCCTGGCCACCCGGCCCTGCATTTCAGAGGGGGCAGCACCCAGTGTTCTGGGGTCTCAGTTACTGAATGAGCCTGGGCACCTGCCTGCCCTCTCTGGCCTCAGTTTACCCCCTGTACTGCTGGGCGAGGGATCAGGGCATAGCGAAGGACCATTTCAGCTCCGCTGGTGCCACACTGCTGAAGTCCTGGCCGCTTTTTCCTGCATCCTGGGGTTTTCTGACAAAAGGGGAGCATGTTAGTGCTTGAAATGGCCTCACCTCTTGCTATTTTTGCAGGAAGCCTGAACGCAGTTGTTAAAAATAGAAATAATGAAGGAAAGCAGCAGCTTCTGCCCTTGAGTCCTGAGGCCAGGACAGGACTCCCAGGATCCTCTCCAGGCTTGTGATGATAAATGATCATTGGGCTGCATTTGTCCTTAGCTAATTTATCCTTGGCCTAGAGAGAAAGTTTCTGCCTTTTTTTTTTTTTAAGAGGAAAGCTGGAAAGGTGCTTGAGGCCTAATAACTTTGCTTGGTCTTTTTTGGGCACTGGGCCCTGCATTTTCCACCTGGCAATGCTGTGTGGGGCTTCTTCCAGGCACTCTGTGGGCCTCATGCCGCCTGTGCTGGCCGGAGCCAGCGTGGCGATCAGACGTCTGGGTGTGCCCGGCACGACCCCACCTCGCCGCTCCCCTGAGCTGTCCTTCCCCTGCAGAGGGGCCAAGAAGCACCCCTGGGAGGCCATTAGTGTCAGCAAGAAAGGTACGGCAGGGCGGGGCCAGGACAGGGTGAACAGGACCCCAGCGCTTGGTGGCCACGAGTCCCAGCTCTGGGAGGAACAGGCCTTGAGGATGCAGAGAGGTTTGCATTGGCAAAAGTCTCGGCATCTCTCATTTTTCCCGTACATGCACCACCACCGCTGCTTCCTGCTGTAGCCCCTCTCCGCCAAGAGGCATTCCCAGCCCCCAGGACCATAGAGAGGGGCAGGGGTCTTCAGCGTGGCTGAGGGCCACCGCCTGCGGCACGTGGGAGGAAGCTGCCAACTACCCCCATCCCCTGAGCTGAAGTCTCCTTGCATCTGGGCCTTGATTTTTTAATGCGAGATGCAGCTCAAGGCTTGCGGTCATACTTCTGTCTTCAGGTGCGAAAACTGCGTTTTCTTCTTGAGTTCCGTGTTTCAGGGAGAGAATCGTGAAGAAACAGACTAAAGGACTTTGTTGCAAGCTACAGTCATGAAGAAGGACACGTGGGTGAGGCTGGGAGCCCGGGGAGCCTGGTGTCAGCCCCAGTCCGAACAGCGGAGCCAGCAGGAAGACCCTGCCTCTGTGAGTGTGTGGGGTGCTTTGGAGATGGGGGTGTGTTTAGATTTTGTCTCTTCCATGTTATTCCCATGGCAGGCTCTGCACCAGTCCCCGGCGCTGCCTGCGGCATCTGATTCTGCCGGCGCTGCCCGCTTAGCTTATGGGTATGCAGAAGATCTGCATCATGGTTCCTGCTGAAGAAGGGAGTGTGTGGCTGTGTGTGTGTGGCTGTGTGTGTGTGCGTGTGCACAGGCATGCACACACCTGTGTTTACATGAACACATATGAATACAGTGTATGTGTACACACACAAACACGTGTGTGCATGTGAGGTACATGCATGTGCACATTTGCTTACATGTACGTGTGTGTGTGCACGTGCATACACATGTGCGATTGGCAAGTGTGTGCATGCATATGTATATGGGCACATATATGTACAGGCATGTATGCACGTTTGTGTGTTTGGTGTGTCTATATATGTACGTGTATATGGCCACACACGGATACAGGTATGTATACACCTGTGCATGCACGCTTGCCCAGACACACAACTGCACACCTCCCTGCCCTGCACCCTGCCTTTGGGCTCTCCATCGTTGCTGCTGGCTGATAGGTCTTGAAAGGCCCAGGCTGGTGAGTAAGTCCTGCCCCTCAGGTGGGCAAGACTGGGAACAGCCTATCTGGCCTTCTTCAGGTTTCCTCTCTCAGCCTGGAGGAGGGCAATAATGATGCAATTTCTTACAATAATGATACCTTACATTGCATAATCGTTCGGGTCACTCAAAATATTGAAAACAGTAGCACAGAAAGGTTAAAGGGTTCCACAGCAACTCAGCAGCACAGCCAGCACCACGAAGTCGGCCACCGCCCCACACTTTAGTCAGTTGGGTGACCTGGCCGGCCCTGGGAGGACGCCTCATTCAGCTGAAGCTCATCCACATCCACGTCAGGGGGCTCCTTGGTGTCCCGGAGATGCTGCCAGCTCCCAGCCCCAGGACGGGTGTGAGGCTGTGGCCCACGGGGTAGGTCCCACCAGGGTCTGAAACAGTTCCCTGAGGTGCAGGGAGGTGGGAGGCAGTGAATCCTGCTTTGAAAACTGACTTCAGCTGTTCAGGGTGGGTGGGGCGTGGGCTCAGGGGTGCAGCTGACGCGTAGGTTGGCTCCAGCTATCACCCCAGATCTGGTCCATCCGCAACAGCAGCCTTGCGTGTGGGCTGAGCAGTTGGTTGGCCACATCCAAGCTCTGTTGGGAAAAGAAATCCACTGGTGCCTGTGGTAGGAAACCAGTGCCTCATCCTTGGGCCGGATCAGGTGATCTGAGGGGTGGGAACTGCTGCCCCCGGCTTGGCTGTTCTCCATAAGCCGGACAGGCCGACCCATATGCGCGTGTGTGTGAGCTCGTGGTGAGCAGAGCCCTCCCCCTTCAGCGGAGGTCTGTGACCACCTCCCCGAGCTCCTTCCCTCCCCAGGGCACCGCCGAGGCCTGGCTGACATCACGGGGTGTCCTGCCCAAGGCCCTGTGGTTACTGGACACACTCAACCTGCTGCCTCTGGCCTTTTCCTCACTTTCTAAACCTTCTCTCCACTTCCCAGGGAACTCCTCCTGCACAAGGCGTCTTGGCTCCTGCCCTGCTACACCGACCACGTCCCTCCCTCAGCCGGTCCCCGATACTGAGCACCTTAGAGGCAGCCACTCTTCGCAGGCCTGGTTACCTGTCTTGCACCATGTGCATCTCCTCCTGTGCATGGAGGAGGAAACCAAGGCTTCCAGCCCCAGAGCTCGCAAAGGCAGAGACCCCAGGCTCCCTGTGTGCTCCTGTGCATGGAGGAGGAAACCAAGGCTTCCAGCCCCGGAGCTCGCAAAGGCAGAGACCCCAGGCTCCCTGTGTGCTCCTGTGCATGGAGGAGGAAACCAAGGCTTCCAGCCCCGGAGCTCGCAAAGGCAGAGACCCCAGGCTCCCTGTGTGCTCCTGTGCATGGAGGAGGAAACCAAGGCTTCCAGCCCCGGAGCTCACAAACGCAGAGACCCCAGGCTCCCTCTGTGCTCCTGTGCATGGAGGAGGAAACCAAGGCTTCCAGCCCCGGAGCTCGCAAACGCAGAGACCCCAGGCTCCCTGTGTGCTCCTGTGCATGGAGGAGGAAACCAAGGCTTCCAGCCCCGGAGCTCGCAAAGGCAGAGACCCCAGGCTCCCTGTGTGCTCCTGTGCATGGAGGAGGAAACCAAGGCTTCCAGCCCCAGAGCTCGCAAAGGCAGAGACCCCAGGCTCCCTGTGTGCTCCTGTGCATGGAGGAGGAAACCAAGGCTTCCAGCCCCAGAGCTCGCAAAGGCAGAGACCCCAGGCTCCCCGTGGGCCAGGACCACTGGCCTTTCCCTCCGCTGCTTGGGGCGTCCTGCAGTACCGGGCTCAGGGATGGAACCCTCACGCGGAGCCAGGACGAGCAGGCCACACAGAGGGAATGCCGACCACGTCCCTGAAGCCACAGTGGTGAGGAGGGGACTGTGCACTTCAGTGTGAGGTCGGGAAGGCAGCGTCCTGCTCGGATTGTAGAAACGGGCAGAAACCCCGACGTGGTCTCTCCTCGGTTTAACCGAGAAGATGCTGAGGCCTGGTATCCACTGTCCTCCCTCCCGAAGGCCAGACTCAAAAGGAGGAAGTACAGGAGGATGGTGCAGCTGGGCTTGTCCCCTCACGGCCCCAGATGCGGCCTCCGCCACGGTGTGGTCTCTGCATGCAGGCCCCTCCATGCTGCAAGAGGTGGCGGGCTCTGGGGCCGCATCGCACCCCCGATTCGTGTCCTCCAGCCTGTTTCCTCGCCTTAGGTGGGACGCGATCACCCGCCTGCGGGGAGTCTTGCTGCCGTGCGACAGTGAGTAGAGGCCGGGCACAGGCCCACAGCAGGCGCTCAGCAAACGCTCACTCCCAGGTCCCCGTGTGCCCGTCTAAGAACCGCGAGGCTTCAGGCCTCCAGGAGGTGTCTTGCGGGGGCAGCCGCTCTGACGTCGCCTCTGCCCACTGTGTCTGGATCCCTCGTGAGGGGCCCCCAGACCAGAGGCAGCCGAAAGGTAGAGTCCAGATGCGGAGGGAAAGACGTGATCTCCGAATTCCGTGATGACAGGTGGGCAGCGGCAGCTGGAATTACACACCAGTCCCACAGCTGTGGTTTTAAGCACTAATATTTTACAGGTAAGAAGCTCCATCTCCCACGGCAGATTGCAACCGTCAGGGTTGTTAGATTCGTGCGGACCGGACGATGCGTCTAAAGGAAAACGGACCCAGGCAGGAACAGCAGCGGCCGCCCGAGTGTTGGCAGAAGCAGGCCTGTTGCTGAATTGTGACGTTTGTAGAAATCGCTGTTTTAGCCGCTGTTGGCTCCTCTCAAGCTCCTGACAGTGATCCCAAGATCTGCTGGGAAGCACCTTCCCCGGCGACTCCTCGGGGACACCGGCTCCAGCTGCAGCCTCAAGTGACCCCTTTGCCGGAGTCCAAGAAAAGAGAAGCTGCTTCCGTGGACTCTTCTGTCCCAGATGAAGCCGCAGCGGCAGGAAGTGGTAGCTGGCTGCTCTCAGGGTTTATTTGGTTGGGACAAGAGGTCCCAAAGCTGTCCTTGGGAAGGAGCTTAGGCGGGGCTGAGCTGATGTGTGCCTCGAGGAGCGGAGGGAGAGACAGGGCAGGAGACAGGGAGAACACGGTCCAGAGGCAGCGGGGAACAGTGGGAGGGAGAGCCGGGCCCTCTGCAACGCCGGCTGTGGGCTGGGACAACAGGGGAGGGTGAGGCAGTCCCAGCTCTCAAGGCCTCTGGCCCAGGATGAGGTGTGAGATGGCCAAGCTGCCGTGGGGCCGCCCGGGAGGAGGAGAAGCAAACCCATCAAGGAGGGCTCACAGGCGTGGTGATATCTGACGAGGCTCCTGAAGGGTGGGTAAGAGTTTTCCAGGAAGGGTGGTTGGAGGGAGCACTAGGCGAGTGGCCGGCACGAACCAAGGCCTCGGGTCCCCAGAGCCCTGTATGGGTCGCAGTTGGGTCTTCCCAGGTTAGGGTTGAGGTTCGGGTTATGTCTCTTCCACAGCCCTTGAGAGCAATAGGATTTCAGCAAATGTAGCTTGTGTGGTTTCTGATGGTCAGAAATAATCCACATTTTAGGATTTCTGTAATCCTGTACTTTAAAACTGGCATCACAGACCATTGCCCCTGCAGACAGCAGCCTGGGCCTCCAAATGGAGGGGCCTGCGGGGGGATGAGCTGTCCGGAGGGTCCACACTGGAGGAGGGGGCAGGCCACGGCCCGGCTGGAGAGCCTCTGTGCCTAGTGGGCCCCGGAGCCCCAGGTCCCTGGTGCAGGGGGTGGAGGTCAGGCAGGCCCTGGGCAGCTGATTGCTGCCTGAAGCCCACCCTGAGGAGGGAGGGAGGCAGGGGAGGAGACAGAACAGATCCCTTGGGGGAAGCAAACCCACATTCCCAGACCCAGGAGCGCCCACGTCAGGGGGACCCCAGGGAGGGCCAGCCCTGCGTGTACACCCCTCCTGCCAGGACCCTGCTTCGGAGGTCACACCAGCTCCTTGTGGAATGGTCTGTTGGAGCGGACCTGACCTGGAGAATCCACGCCTCTCACACATGGAGCTGGGCAACAGCTGGCACCCGCCCCCTCGGCCTCAGCCTCCCTGGGGGCTCCCCCGCCACAAGAGGGGCCGTCCCGGGTGCTTTGAGTGGAGTGAGCTAGAGAGTCGGATATTAGGGCCACCTAGGAGAGCCGGCCTTGTCCATCGCCTGGCCGGGGCTGGACTGACGTGAGCTGTCTCCAAGTCCAGGAGGAAACTCACAAACTCTGAGCTACACAGCAGGTATGAGTCCTGCTGCAACACAGTGCGCTTTAAAAAGTGTGAATAAATTGAAACTTCATGAAATAGCCTATATTTACAATATCCAGACAAAATTACCTCTTTTTGTCTTTTATTTATTTAGTTACTGAGAGAGGGTCTCGCTCTGTCACCCAGGCTGGGTGCAGTCACGGCTGACTACAGCCTCGAACTCTCAGACCCAGAGGTCCTCGTGCCTCAGCCTCCTGAGTAGCTGGGACCACAGGTGGGAACCACCAGGCCCAGCTAGAATGCTTTAAAAAGAGTCATCTAAGGCAGAGGTAGAAGTTACAGCTCTAGGGCCCAAGTCAGCCTCTGTTTTTGTCCAACAGAGGGCTAAAAATGATGTTTATATCTTTAAATAGTTGGAAAATCAAGAGACTATTTTGTGACATGTGAAACTTATAGGAAATTCAAATTTTAGCATCCATAAACAAGGAGATGTGGGGACACAGCCACACACACTCATCACGTGGGTCGAAGGCTGCTCTGGGCCACAGCGGCAGAGGTGAGCGTTTGCACCAGAGGCAGAGTGACCTCGAGGCCTGAAGCACACCGTCCAGCCCTTCACAGAGCGGCGTGCCAGCCCAGCTCTCGGGCTCCCTGGCAAGGCTGGAGCCGCAAGGGGCTCGAGTTTCCCCTGCCCGCAGCCCCCATAACTGGAAGCTGGCTCGCCCAGTGCCCTGATCCCACCCGCCGGCCCCTTCCTGTCCACACATCCCCGCTTTTCCCTGGAAGCCTTTGGTGACAAGTGCAGACACTCTGCCCCTCATCGTCTGGGGTCCTTGGCCGCCTCTCACCTGTCCCCCAGGTGGCAGGTGAGGCCCTCGGGTCCACTCTGAAGGTGATGGGCTGATGCTCCAGGCCGGACATCAGGCTCCGTGACAGCTGGTTCTACACCGTCTTCTCCGGCTGTCCCTGGGGTCACGCCCCTCTCCTGCTGCAGAAACTTGGGTTTCCTCCGTGAGGCTTAAATGAGAGCAGCCTCAGGACAGATGTCCAGGAAAGGCCAAGAGAACTCAAGCTTGACTGTTCCTCAAGCCTGCTCTTGACAGACAGAAGTGGGTTGGGTGAATCTGAGGAAGAGGGGAGAGGGCCTCGCCCCATGGGGCAGGCTTGTTACCGTCAGGACGGGGCTGCTTTGGGTGCTGAGTCCTGGAAGCCGCTCGGACCCATCCATGACTTCTTATGTGTGCTGTCGGCAGCTGACCAGCGGCCACGCTATCCTGGACGCGTGGGGATGGAGCTACGGGGAGGGTGCGGTGGTGACTGCTCCACTGCAGAGCCAGGTATCGCCAGGGGCGCCAGGTGAGACCCAGCAGAGACACAGGTGGAAAGGAGTGAGTCCTCCAGGGTCCCCTGAACAGTCAAGTTCCACCCATTCAGTAGCTTCAAAAACAGGCTCACGATTTGGTGTGGGCCCTGGTCTCCAGCTGGGTTCCCTCACCTTACGGCTCCCCATGGTCACCGGCAACCCAGCATCCCACACTCTGGATGGGGGTCAGGAGTGGAGGCGACAGGAGGCGAGGAGGCGAGTGGGCGGCACAGACAAGGAGGGAGCCCACCCCTGCTCTAGACAGAGTTTAGGAGTGGAGGGGACCGAACAAAAGGAATCGTCTTCATTTCACCTTCTGGTAAGAACAGGCTTTAGCCAAGGAAAGGAGGGGTGGACGTGCAAAGCCCTCCCGTGCGGGAGCCCTGGGACAGAGGAACCATCCCACAGCCCCCCGGGAGCCGCCGATCCCCCCGACACAGCCCCCCGGGAGCCGCCGATCCCCCCGAGACTGGCCTGCACCTGCACATCTGGGGGGCGGGGCCCCGAATTGTCCTGCCACAGTGGCCCCGCCGGCAGGGAGATCAGAGGAAGAAATAAAATCCTCAGGCCTCACCTGGGATCCAGATTCGAGGCCGGAAGAGCAGACTTTGCCGGGGGCACTCACGCAGATCCCCACGTCTCAGGGCACCGCAGTCCTATTACCATAAGCGATCATGCAAAGGTGTGGTAAAAGCCATCTGTCATTCATAAAATGTGATGATGCCTTTCTGCAAAGACATAAGCCATCCCGGGGCTCAGCCAAGAAATGGCCATAAAATCCGGCATAATGACCTCAAAGCACACTTTCCAATATAAAGAACTTTCTAGGCAGCTGTTTCCAGAATTTATCTGTGTGCAATAATTTTACACCTAAAACTATCACTGTGTTCTGTGTCTGGTGGCCTCTTTAGCAGTTCCTCCCCTGTAACAGCAAGAAAGTGCCTTCAACATGCTGATGGGCCCCGGGTCAACATGCTGATGGGCTCCGGGTGACCAGTGACAGCATCAGGTTCGCTTGACAATGGCTTTGCCGTCGGACACAGGCGCAGGTGCCTGGGGAGGTGCCGTCTGTCTTTGTGATCCCCCAGGTTGCCAGGAAGGAGGAGCTCATGCCTCTGTTGAGAAGAGCAGGTTTTGTCTTGGTTGGACTCAGAGACCCTGAGAGCAGGATTTTCCCTCCCAAGCGCTCCCCAGGGGGAGACCCCTCGGGCCAGGACTCCCAGGGCCCACACAGAGCCTGGTGTTCGGAGGACAGAGCCTGTGGGGACCAAGGGCAGGCACAGCTGGGCTCGCACCGACAGCTGGGGAGGGAGGGGGAGCTGGAGCCTGAACTGACCCCTTTGGTGGTGGGGTTGGTGGGGTACAGGGAGTCAATGGCCCAGCCCCAGCGACAGCACAGCAGCTTCCCCAGGAGGAAGGGGAGGCTGAATAGGAGAGAGAACCCCACCTCCTCCACACCTGAGGCCGTAGCCCGAGGCTTTCACTCCAGACCCAGGCATGTACGGGCTCTGATAAGAGGTTCCCTGTAATTTATCCTCACTTGAATCTCAAATTTGCTTCTAAATATCCAATCTTTTTTGTCTAATGTATGCGTTTTCATCCCTAATCACCAAACCTGTAGATTACACTCATGCATGAAATATTTGGTGAATACCTTTTAATTTTACAAAATGTCTCCTTCTGAAATTACTCCTCCGCACCCAGGAAAAAACAGAATGATGTCACTGCCAACTTCGAGGTAAAAGTATTTCGCAAATCTTAACAATTTTAGCTTCTACATGCACGTTAGGAAGTGTTGATGGACACAGGATCATACTCTACCTATTGGAGGAAGGAGACGATTTAATTGATCATGTCTTCAATTCCTGTCCCCACCCTCCCCGGGCCCCTCTGTCCTGGGGGGCCGTGGCCTCGCGATGATCTAGGCTGTGACAGAGGAGCACCCAAATCCTCTTCAGATTCCTTTCAACTCGGCTGTGACGTCTGCGTCTTCATAAGAAAGGACGTGTTTCCGAGCGGCCACTGAGAACTACAGGCAGGCCGACCGGCAAACCACCCACAGCCAGCACCGGGAGCTGCAGAAGCCACGGGGCCCTCACAGGGGTTCTCTGTCTCCTCCATGGAGGTGCTCCCTGTCTATCTGCTGGGCCCGCTCACAGGGCCCCTCCACGGATGGTGCCCGGCCTCCCTCACGTCCTCGAGGCGTCCCTCGGTCAGGTACTTAGAATCTGCGTCTCCCACCTGCTTTTCCCAAGGCTGCAGCTTCCCCTGGACAAGAGCGGAGCCTGGGCTCCCAGTGCCAGGTTACTAGCCCAGGACCTGGCCCCTGGCAGATGCTGGGCATAGGCTTATGAGAGGACTGAAGTGGCTGTGTCTCCACGCAGCCGACAGCTTCACGAGAGAGAAGGGGAGGTCAAGGCCAAGATCCAGTGACAAGAGGACCAGAGCCCCATGACTAGCAGGCCACAGATGGCAGCTAGTTTAGTCCTCACAACAAGGTGAGAGCCAGCAGCTCCCTCCCACAGCAGGAAACTGAGCTCTGAGAGATTCCCTGACATGCCCAGTGCCGTCTGGCTGGTGAGGGACAAGCCGGACCTAGCCCCCATGTGCTGGCTCCAAGCCCACCCTCAGCCCAGCCCCTCCCACAGCGCTGGCCTTTCCTTCCCACACCCCAACTGCTGCCTCCAGCACGGGGACCCCCAGGGAAGGGCAGGACCCTGGGAAGCAGATGTGGGCTTCTTGTTCCTAAGTGTCCAGAATTCCAAGATGGCTTAAACCCAGCATAGGGCTGAATGGGTGAGGCTGGCGAAGAGGTCAAGTTTCTCTGTAAAAATAGTGACCACAATAATAGCAACGTGTGCTTTGTAGCAAAGACTCACTGAGACTCTGCGTGCAAAGTGCTAAGGCCGGCCCAGCTTGCGGCCACGCCAAGTGCCGTCTGCTGTGGGGCCAGCTCCTCCCTCCTCCTCCAGTTCCTCGGGCTGTCTGGTCTGGGGATGTGGCTTTGGGGCTCGGTGGCCTGCAGCCCATCCCCTTGCCTTCAAGGGCCCCTTAGGGCACAGAGCACCCCGTCAGGTAGCATCCCCAGGACGCGGGGCCGGCTGAATCCCTGGGTGCTGTGCCCTCTGCTCTGCCTTCTCCGGGGCCCCCGGCAGGATTGGCCTCCCCGACTCCGGCAGGAACTTGGTGCGGCTGTCCCAGCCCTGGGCATCTTCTCCCTCAGGCTGCGGCCTCACAGGGCCCACGAGGGTCAGAAAGCAGAGGTCTGGCTGTTTTGATTTTTGGGTTTTTATTGAGACAGGGTCCAGCTGTTGCTCGGGCCGGGCTGCGGTGGTGTGATCACCGCTCACTGCAGCCTCGGTTTCCTGGGCTCAGGAGATCCTCCCACCTCAGCCCCCTGAGAAGCTGGGACTACAGGCACGCACCACCACGCCCGGCTCATGTTTTTATTTTTTGTAGAGATGGGGTCTCCCTCTGTTTCCTCAGCTGCTCTCGAACTCCTAGCTCAATCAGTCCACCCACCTAGGCCTCTGAAAGTGCTGGGATGACAGGTGTGAGCCCCTGTGAGCCCAGCCCCTGGACTTTTTTTGGACTCTTTCATATAACTAATATGTAGGCCTGGAAGTCTGGTCATTGCTTTAAGTAGTTTCTTGGTAGAGAACTAAGAATTCTATGTTTGAGAGGCCGTAGGGGCCACATCTGACCCACTTCCTTCTAACTAATTTTTGTTTTTTTTGAGACAGAGTTTCTCTCTTGTTGCCCAGGCTGGAGTGCAGTGGCGTGATCTTGGCTCACTGCAACCTCCACCTACCAGGTTCAAGCGATTCTCCCACCTCTGCCTCCCGAGTAGCTGGGATTACAGGCATGCGCCACCATACCCGGCTAATTTTTGTATTTTTAGTAGAGACGGGATTTCTCCATGTTGGTCAGGCTGGTCTCGAACTCCTGACCTCTGGTGATCCACCCGCCTCGGCCTCCCAAAGCGCTGGGATTACAGGCGTGAGCCACCGCACCGGGCCCAGGTAGAACTATTTTTAAAGCCAGCTTTTGTTCATTATACCACACTGTGTCTACGAACAATCTGTAGACTGTGTGCTCGTGTGCCTGTGCACCGGTGTGTGTGTGTGGATGCCGTGAACAGACTCTAGATTATCTGCCTTTTGGAATTTCCCGACATTGTGTGACCATCAGAACATGATCAGTGTTGCGAATGCTCCATGTGTAACGGACTGTGAGTCCTGTGTTTGACGGATACAAAATAAAGTCAAGCTTTTACATTGTTTTATTCTTGTGTTTTCGGCTTCTTGATCGGTTGCTTTTAATGAAAACGAATGAGTTCTATTTTCAAAGACCCTCAGACGGTGGGTGGGGAACGGATAGCCCAGGAGTCCAGCGTTGGGGCGGACTGGCCGGCGGGCCAGCGACAGCAGCCGGAGGGACGAGCACGACCCTCCCCAGCCACCCCGCGTCCCCCGAACCCAGCCCAGCAGATGCAGAGCTCACATTTTCTCCTGCTAGCGGCTCTCCCGGCTCCCCTGTGAGCCCCGATAGCCAGGCCCATTGCCCGTCAGCACCCACAGCCAAGCGGGAGGCCTGGGGAGGAAGGAATATTGTCCCGTTCTGGCTTTGCCGGCCAGGATTAGAATTGCACGCGGCGCAGCATCTGGCGCCCGCTGGACGCTCAGTAAGGACAAGACGGCTCTCCTCCTCCTGCCACCCAGAGCCCCAGCCTCCTCCCAGCACCCCCAGGCTCCCAGAATAGGCTACGGCCAGAGCTGGCCTGTGGTAAACAGCTCGGAGCCTCCGGGCAGGTCTTGGATGAGTAACCCTCAGCAAAACATCGTGGGATCCAGAAAGGTGCAGGTGCCAGGCCTGAGCTGGGTGGGCCCCTCCAGCACCCCCACCTGGACCCTCCGCTGGGCCACTCCAGGCCAACGCATGGGTGGAGGTGCAGGGGGAAAGCCAGCTCTTGGGCTGCGGTGCCCGCCTCTGCCCCACCTCAGGAGGCTGGGACGTCCCCGATCTGTGTGGGAAAGAAAACCCGTCATCCTGTTGCTGATGGGGCCTCAGCGAGTCGTGGGGGGCCCCTGGGAGGAGGTGGGAGGCACATAAAGCTCCATCTGCTCGTGGACTGCACACTCCCTGGCCACAGCTCCCAGGAGGGCTTTCTCCTCCACACCATCACGCACCCCAAACTTTATGGCCCAGCATCCCTTTCCCACCCTTGTCCATACATCGCGGTGCCCCCTTCACAGAGAAGCGTTGCATGAGTTCCTTCAGTTCTGTTCCAATATCCCCTGCGCAGCCATGCAGACAGGCTTCCTTCTTTCCCCTTCTTGCGCGAGCGACACGGCTCTACACGTCCTCTTATACCTCGCTACTTACGCACGGCGGCCTCTTTCTCCTGGGAAGATCAGTGGCGGCTCCAGCCAGGCCAGCTGGCAGCTCAGGGCTCAGGCGCTGGCTCATCTGAGGAGCCCTGGGCTCCAACCAGCTGCTGGGCAACGCTGGGACGACAACCTCTCCTGTCCTAAAGGGCAGGAGGTACTGCGGCTTCTTCCCCTGCCACAGTCCCAGGGACCTGACGGGGACACTCAGAGACTCTGTCTCTGCCTCCTGTGCGGGGTCATGCTCTGCCTGGAAAGCGCCTCCTTCCTTCCTGGCCCATTGGGAAATCGCAGTGTCCTCTGGCCGGTCCCAGCACCCCCGGGTGGGACCCCAGCGACCCTGCACCCCCCCACTGCAGCCGTCTCCCTCCTCCTGGCAGGGCAGCTGCCAAGCCTTGCCCAGTCCAGGTCTCCCCAGGCAGGATCCCTTGGGGGAAACCTGAGGAGGCAGCTGTTCCCCCACTCCCAGAGTGTCCTCAGAGAACCCCTTCCAGACCCCAAGCTCCAGAGCTCGGCCTCAGGTTCCCTTGCTCGGGTCTGGGAACTGGAAGTCGGTCCCGCTCCCCTCCCTGGCCTCTGCCCCATTTTTCTGTCCGCTTCCACGTAGAGCAGACCAGAATATGCCACCCCAAAATATGCCTCTTTGGCATAAGCATTATTTTGAGCTGCTTATTTTGAGAAACTGCAACCACAGGAGAAATTCTGAAAACAAGAGTGGAAGCTGCTGTTCTATGAGAGAAAGTCACATCCGTACAGGCATCTGCGCTCACCAGGGTGCCCCCTCTCTGGGCCAGAAGGCCGCCTGTAAGTCACCGGAGACGCTCATCCATGGAGAAGGCCTGACCCCAGTTTGGGGTAATTTCTTGGGCCCCTCCCCACACACTCTTTCTCTTTGTTTCCGTCGAACATGGTCTTTAAGGCTGAGCTCCAAGCCACGCCTTTGCGACATAGCCTGTCCCGAGTCCGTCCCTTGCAGACCAAGGTATACATGCTATTAAGCTTCTGTTTTTCTCTTGTTATCTGTCTTTTCCACCTTGCAGCACGAAGCTTCCCCCAGGAATCCTCCACGCCCTCACCTGCACCAAGACTTTCAATTAAGAGCAGCAGTGCCCTCCTGGTGTCTGGTGGTGCCAGGGGGCAGGCCTGGTCCTCAGGCCTGGGGTCTTCTGTCCCCCCTTATCCTGGGGAGCCCATCTGTCCCCCTCATTCCTGGGAAGCCCGTCTGCCCCCCTCATTCCTGGGGAGCCCGTCTGCCCCCCTCATTCCTGGGGAGCCTGTCTGCCCCCCCCATTCCTGGGGGACCCATCTGTCCCCCCTCATTCCTGGGGATCCCATCTGTCCCCCTCATTCCTGGGGAGCCCGTCTGCCCCCCTCATTCCTGGGGAGCCCGTCTGCCCCCCTCATTCCTGGGGGGCCCGTCTGTCCCAGGGCTTTGCATACTGAGGCCTCGCAATCCACAAGCTTTCCTAATTCCCAGCTCATCCACATGACAACAGCCCTTCCCCGGGGGCTCTGGCCGACCTCCCTTCGTCCTCACCACACAGCTGCTCTCCCTGCCCCGCCCTTAGCCCTCCTTAGACCCATCCACCCGGCCCCTAGGTGAGCCTCTCCCGACCCAAGACCCAGCGTCGTCCCTCTGTCCCCAGCCTTCCCACGGCCCCCTCACTCAGGACGCAGCCCACAGCCTGGCCCCACCTGCAGACCTTACAGAGGCCACTTGGCCCCTCACACAATGCCCACCTCACAGGCCTTCTCTCCCCGCAGAGGGTCAGACATGCCCCTGCCCCAGCCTTGGCATTTCCACCCCGCAGGCCTCCACGGGGCTGAGCCCTCAGGTACCAGCTTCTGTGCAAAGCCATGCCTGGAGGCCTTCCTGGGCCACGTGGTCTAAGACAGCAATCCCCTCACACCCAGAGCAGGCAGCCCTCCCTGCCCGGGCCGTCTTATTTTCCTATGTCATTCCTGTCACCACCTGGCGCTCACCTTGGCTAACTGGAGCTCCAGCCCCTTTGGACGAAAAGAGCTCCCAGAGCCACTCCCTGGTCTCTGATGGGGCTGTGTGTCCTCTCCAGGTGCCCTCCCCGACAGCCAGCCCCTCCGCCTCTGCACAAGGGAGGGCCCAGGGAGGCTCAGGGCCTGTGTGGCTGTGTGTGTGTCTCTATGTGTCTGTGTGTCTGTGTGTTTCTGTGTATCTATGTGTGTATGTGAATGTGTATCTGTCCATGTATCTGTGTATATCTGTGTCTGTGTGTGTGTGTATGTCTGTGTCTGTGTGTATATCTGCGTCTGTATGTATATATGCGTGTCTGTGTGTATACGTGTCTGTGTACCTGTGTCTTCGTATGTCTATGTGTGTATTGGTGTGTGTCTGTGTGTGTCCATGTGTGATGACATGTGTATCTGTGTCTATGTGTGCATCTATGTATATCTGTGTGTATGTCTTTGTGTATCTATAGATCTGTGTCTATGTGTATATTATCTCTGTGTTCATCTGAGTATTGTATGTCCATGTGTGTCTACATGTGCCTGTGTCTGTATCTGTGTCTGTCTATGTGTCTATGTGTGTATCTGTGTGTCCGTGTGTGTGTGTCCATATATCTGTCTATGCATGTATCATCTGTGTGTCTGTGTATTGTGTATCCATGCATATATCCGTAACTATGGGTATGTCTGTGTGTGTTTGTGTCCACGTGTGTGTATCTGTGTGTGTCTATATATCTGTGTCTATGTGTGTGTCTGTGTCCACGTGTGTGTATCTGTGTGTGTCTATATATCCGTGTCTGTGTGTATCTGTGTGTATCTATGTGTGCATCTGTGTGTGTCTGTTTTCTCTTTGTTTTTATGGTGTCCACGGATGGGCCGACTGAACCACCAAATTCCTCCTCAGAGCCCAGTAAAGGCACCAGGCGGAAGGGTCTGGCGGAGGGTTGGCCGCTGTCTCCTCACTCCTCAGCGGGGTCCTGTCTTCCGACTTTTGTCTCGCGCCGCCGCAGCCTGTGGACTCCTGGGCCCTCCTCTGAGAGCCTGCGCTGTGCCTGGCCCCGGGCGGAACTTTGAACGAGGCTCCTGTCTTAACTCGACTGCTTGTGCTTGGGGGAGATAAACAATAAACAGGAGCAGAAGAAAGTGTCCTCAGACCACGGCGGGTGCTGTTGGGAAAACAGTGGCGGGGCAGGGAGGGGGGCGCTTCTGAAGGACCTGGCGAGGTAGAGGCCACTGTTCTAAGAGGCAACAGACGAGATGAACCAGGACCCTCTGCGAGGGAGGGAGGCGTCCAGGGGTGCACACGGGTCCAGATAGCTGCCGGGCTCCCAAAAACCACTCTGGGGGTGAGGATGGGAGGGGAGAGGAGTTGGGGGCAGGAGGCAAGTGAAAGTAAGTGCCCAGGGAACCTCCATGAGGCCCCCCACACCGGATAATAGTGTTCCATGGGGTCTGCTCAGCCCCATGTCTGCCCCAAGACACTAGCCACAGCTCTGCGTCGAGGTCCTGTAGACCACGGGAGAGATGGGGGGGCCAGGAGCCTATAGAACTCCAAGTCCAAGGGGACCCTTGCTGGGAGAACACAGGCCAAGACCTTCCTTCCTGCCACAGGCTTCTGTCCCTGCTGTCTGCTCCCCCAGGACTCCCCCCACACCCGGGATCTTCCTCCTCACCCTCCTTGGCCTCTCTCAGTGACCCTGTCTACACACAGATGTGCTGTCCATGTGAGTGGAAGGAAGGAAGGATGAGGTCCACTCACAGGGGTGAAGCTGTCTCCTGAGGGGGCAGCCCACCTCCAGGTCACACCGCCCCACCCAACACAGCCTCCAGTCCAGCTCCAGGTGGGCCGCACCCAGCCCTTCACTCACTTCAAATGGCCCAAGACGCATGGATTCCACTGGCCAGCCGGACTGGAACAACTTCTCCCCTTATAAGTATCTAGTGGGTGCCCACGGAATGCCAGGCAATGGGCCAGGCTCAGAGATGAGTGATTCCTCAGGAACAATGGGCTCAACGCCCTTAATTCACATCAGAGGAAACTGAGGCTCAGAGAGGGCGGAGAGGGCCCTGGTAACACAGCCAGCCGGTGAAAGTAAGAGGGGGGGCCCAGGCCCTGCTCCCGGCCCACCCGCCTGGGCTTGCTGGCGAGGCTGCTGGCCCAGGCAGTCTGGGCACTGTGGAAGCAGCCGGCTTGAGGCACAGGGGATGTGGCCTCCTCCCACACACTTACCTCCCTGACTACATCTTAGGCTGACATCCAGATTAACTCATATTCCCTACAGGGAGCTGCACGGCCAGAAGCTGCTGGTTGCAGAAGCCACCAGCTGGTTGTACAAGCACCGCTCCCCTGGTTGTGGGTGACAGATGAGATGCACTCACGTGAACACACATGCATGTGCACACACACATGCACACAGACGCACACACAAACACACACAGGCATACACACGCACACGCACATCCACACACACACATGCGCACACACACGCACACGCCTGCACTCACACACCCCCGTCGGCCCCAAGCAGGAAGGCGCCCCCGGCACACCAGCCCCTCTCAGCGCCCCCAGCGGGCCCGGCGCCTGGAGGGTTAAGGCGGGCGCGTCCCGCGGGTGGGCGGGGGGGGGGGGACGGGACCGGTGCCGGGAGCTCCGCTGCCCTGGCGTCCCCTGGGTCCAGGCCCAGTCGCTCCTTGGGCCTCTCTCGCGGGGCCGCCTCCGCCTCCTCCTTGCCGAGACGGGCGTGGGGCACGGGGTCGCCGCCCGGCGGGGAGCTCATCCGGCGGCGCAGACGCCCCGCGGCTCCGGGGAGGGACTTGGCCTGGGCCCCGGCCCCGCGCTCCTCTGGGGAGGAGCCGAGAGGCTGCAGCTGGCGGCGGCGGCCCCGGGCGGGAGGGGGTCCCAGGAAGCGGCCAGGCCGGAGCCCCCCACTCGGCCGCAGCTGCTGGCCTGGCCAGAACCGAGCGCGCCCTCCCGGTCTCCGCCGCTTCCCTCTGCAAACCGCGGGCAGGAGGAGCCCTCTCCTTAGCGGGCCCGGAGCTCAGAGGCGTCGCGGGGCGCGGCCGAGGGGAGGAGGAAGGAGAGCGGGAGCGCAGCCGGCCCGGGCCCAGCCGTGACTCGTGGGGCGGCGGCTCCGCCAATCTGTGGGCGCTGACGCGGGGGGCGGCTCCGCGGCGCTCGATATCTGCCCGCCCGGGACGCGGGGCGCCGAGAGGCTCGGCCAGGCGGGAGCTGCGCTCGGGGCGGCCGCTGCACCTGCCCGGGACCCCGCCGGCCGCTCCCCGCGCCCACCCCTTCCGCCCTTCGCCCCCCCCTTCCCCCCAGCCCCGGTCTCCCGGGCGCGGCGTGAGAGCAGAGCCCGGCCCGGAGGAGCCGCCCCTTCCCCGCCCGCCCGCCCGGCGCCTGGAGAGGAGCGCGCTGAGGATCGGGACGCCTGCGGCCGCCGCCACCGCCCAGGCCCGTCGCGCCCCGGCCGGGATGGACCCACACGCCCGATGAGCCCCGCGCCGGCGGCTGCGAGCGCCGAGCCTCCCCCTGCTGCGGCCCCAGCCGCCCCCCGCGCGCCCGGCTCCGCGGACCAGGACCCCTGGGCTCCCCGGCTGAGGGCGCGGCCGCTCCGGAGAGGCCGAGCGGGGACGGGCCCGAGATGGCGCGGGGACCCAGCGCTCCGGCGGCGGGCGCCCTGCACGCGGCCCGGGCCCGGGGACAGCCCCGGAGCTGGTAGCCGCCCGGCACCGATGGACCTTGACCCGCGAGGCGGCGCCGCGCTCGTGCCCAGCTGCAGCTAGAGGGGCGCGCGGGCAGAACGCGCTCCAGGCCCGGGCCGGCCCGCGCGGCCATGAAGATGATGCTGGTGCGCCGGTTCCGCGTGCTCATCCTGATGGTGTTCCTGGTGGCCTGCGCGCTGCACATCGCCCTGGACCTGCTGCCCAGGCTGGAGCGACGCGGCGCGCGGCCCTCGGGGGAGCCCGGCTGTTCGTGCGCGCAGCCCGCCGCCGAGGTGGCCGCGCCCGGCTGGGCCCAGGTTCGGGGCCGCCCCGGGGAGCCCCCGGCCGCCTCCTCCGCCGCCGGCGACGCGGGCTGGCCCAACAAGCACACGCTCCGCATCCTGCAGGACTTCAGCTCCGACCCCTCCTCCAACCTCTCGTCCCACTCGCTGGAGAAACTGCCGCCCGCGGCCGAGCCGGCCGAGCGCGCCTTGCGGGGGCGGGATCCCGGCGCCCTAAGACCCCACGACCCCGCGCACCGGCCGCTGCTGCGAGACCCCGGCCCGCGTCGGTCCGAGTCGCCCCCCGGCCCCGGCGGAGACGCCTCCCTCCTGGCCAGGCTGTTCGAGCACCCGCTTTACCGGGTGGCGGTTCCGCCGCTCACGGAGGAGGACGTCCTGTTCAATGTGAACAGCGACACCAGGCTCAGCCCCAAAGCGGCGGAGAACCCGGACTGGTGAGTGGGGGCTGGCAGGTGCCCACCCCCAAGGGAGCCGTGAGCCCAAGGCATGGTGTAGAGAGGTTCAGGGGCCCCAGAGGGCCGCCCCCCATGGAAGAGGCCGGGCAGGGAGTGTGGTGCGGGAGGAGGCAGCCGCCTACCTCAGGGCGCTGCCTTTGTCTCCAGAATAACCTCCTCCTTGGGAGGGGCTGCCGGCTGGTCCGGGAGCTGTGCCCTGTGGCTGCTGGTGAGGAAGCCAGACCCCGCGCCCTTTAGAAGCGAGTCCTGACCAGCCGTGGTCACCAGCTTGGGAAATGGGGTCAGGCAATGAATGAATGAGTTGGTGAGGGAAGGAGCCAGGCTGCCGCTGGGCTTTCAGACACTTGGCGAGGGTGCTCTGGGTGGGCACCTTGGAGAAGGTCTGGATGTGCCTATTGAGTCTTTTAAACCCAGTGGCTGGAGCAGAATTATCAGAGGGGCTTGCTGGCAGCCGTGAGGTGCAACAAGGCGGCCCAGCCAGCAAGGGCGGTGGGTGTGCTGGCTGCAAAGAGATGATGGCTCGATAAAGGGCGAGAAGCCACGGCAGGAACCTCTCTTTAAACTGTCCTGGCTAAGCCCTTTCCCCACCCCCCGGCCCCTCCCTCCGCCACACAGATCAAAACAAGCAGATGCTACACCGAAGCAGTGGAACATTAACCACGACAAGGCCAGAATAAGTAACTACCTGCCGAAGGTTACCCCAGCAGCAGAGGGGGAGACCAGCCTTCCAAAAGATCTGGTTGAAAGTCCCTTCTTCCCTGAAATGTCCAGGCCCAGTGTCTTCTGTCTAAACACACTGGCTGTTTGGAAGCCTCTGAGCCTTGCCTGCTGGTCAGGTTCAAGGAAATGCTTGGAAATTTGAGAACCAGAGCATTGGCCTGGGCTGTGGCTCTCGGCAGGGAGAGACGGCCGCCCAGAGCAGCGAGTGGCCAGGAAGTGTATCCTAGCCCCCCACCCCGCCCCCGTGTCCACCGCAGGACAGAGCTTCGGCAGAAAGCACCTCAGCTTTAGGTGAATTCGAGCTAGGACAAGTTCCGCGTTTCCCTCCAGCCCAGCAGGCAGACGGAGGGTCTGTCCCTCCTCCAGAACGGTCCCTTGACCCCAGAGATGTGAGGACAGGCTGCGTGGGCGGCGGGTCCTCCATGGGAGCCTGGGCTGGAGAGAGTGCTGCCTCCTTCCTCTCTCCCCACCCAAGGCTGCTCTCATTAAAATCAAATTTAGCCTCTTGCATCATTGTGCCCCTGGTTGTTGGAACAAAAGCAGAGAGCTGGGGAAGGTTCCTGACAGACTGGGCGTGTCTGTGAGTTTCATGCAGCCTGTGGTCAATGGTAGGTTCTCCCCTCTACTCCAGGGGAGGGCCACAGCCCCTCGCACCCTCAGCTGAGGTCATGGTTGGGCCATTTCGGTGACCCTGGGACAGACGTGGCGGGGATGGCAGGGCAGCGCTGACGTCCTGGAATTAGTTTTGCTGTAGTTAGAGCTGTCTGTGGTGTCTCCAGAGGGTGAGTAAGAATTACAGGCCTTTCACCGTGTTATTAGTTGGCAGCCGAGCGGCCACAGAAGAAAGCGCAGACGTTGCAGGGCCCTCTTTAAGCAGAGGCGCCTTCAACACATCTGCACTTGCTTGAACCCAAAGTTAAAAACACTGGCGTCGGTGCCCTCTCCCCGTCATCCGACTCACGGGCCTGTTCTTTCCATGCTGATGTTCGTCCTCGCTGCTCCCTGCAGGCCGCATGCGGGTGCTGAAGGTGCAGAATTCCTCTCCCCCGGGGAGGCGGCCGTGGACTCCTATCCCAACTGGCTCAAGTTCCACATTGGTATCAACCGGTACGAGCTGTACTCCAGACACAACCCGGCCATCGAGGCCCTGCTGCACGACCTCAGCTCCCAGAGGATCACCAGCGTGGGTAGGTGTCCTTGGGTGCACTCAGGGCCGTCTGTGTGCCGGCTGTGTGGCATCAGGGCTGCTGGGGCAGGCTATGTGTTAGAGAGGTCTGGGAGGCCGTTGCTCATTACGGCAGCGTCACCTCCTGCAGCAATCTGCACGGGCAGCGAGGAGGGACAGAGGGCTCGCGTCTCGTGTGCTCTCACACTGGATGTGCTCCTGATCTGCCGCACGATGAGCGGGGAGACGCCTGGACAGCCGGTCCACTGCGCTCTGCGTCCTCACCTGGGTGGTCCCGGGGGTGCCAACTGGATGACAGAGTCCTTCCCTCCTGGGGTAGAGGAATAGAGGGGTATCTCTGGCGGCGGTGACCCCTCCACCGGAAGCGTGTGCATGGAACTCTCCTGCTTTTCTACACACGACCCTGGCTGGGTGGGGAGACAGCCATGAGCCTGCTTCTTGTGGTTTTGAAGCCGTCCTTCGTCAGACCTCAGCAAGGCGCTGTGCAGTTTCATACTGAGGAGACATAGGCAGGGCTCAGGACGGAGGCCTGGGCCTCCCAGATGGAGGAGTTTGAAGGCAACATCTCCAGGTACTTTGGGATCTGCTGAATTGGACAAAAAAGGGCATCCAGTTGCTGATTTCAGGAAAATATGCCACTGCAGCTTCTGAGCGTGGAGGTTTGGTGCCATTGTTCTCAGCTTGTAGGCGATTGTTTGTGAAGGTCCCATTTGTCACCAGTGCTTGGAGAGGTAGTGAGGGCGGGGCTGAGGCCCTTTAGTGGGAGCAGCTGCTCCCCGGGGATTGCAGGGAGTGGGCCTGGGTGCACACAGCTGTGGGCAGGTGCAGAGGCCATGACAGCCTGAAGGCAGGGCTTTCTTTGCGCTGTGTGATGAGGCCAGCAGTCCCAGGCATTAGCTTCATGTGTGTCTCAGAAGCAACCTTGGTGCTGAAAGGGTCCCAGCAGCCTGGGGTTCTGTCCAGTTGCTGACACAGGACTTAGGTGTCCCCTTTCAGGCCAGCAGGTAGGTTCTCCTGAGCTCTTCGGGGCTGTTTCTGGCTCTCTCTGCCGGGTGCTGAGTTGTTTGCTGGGCACTCACCTGGTCATGGGGAGACAGAACTTGCAGCTCTCTCCCCACCCCTTGATCAGCTCACCTCATAACAGAGATCAGCTGGACAAGCTGGGAGTCCTCTTCCCTCCATGCTGCCTGGGAGTAACCTGAACCCCTGCCCCCCTCCAGGCCCCCCTCCGTGAAAGCGCTGCCTTTCTCCTGCCCCTGCAGCGGTCTGAGGGCTTTCAGCTGTGCTGGGGAACAGTCCTGCAGACAGCCACAGCCAGAACGTCCCTTCTGCCCCTGAGAGTGAGCATGGCCATTAAGGAAATATCCGATGCATTGATCAACATGTTTGTCCATTCAGCAGATTTTACTGGCACCTCCTGCATGTCAGACCCCCTTTCTGGGTGGTGGGGAGTTGAGGATGAGTTCAGCCTCAACGAGATCTGCTGCCTCTGTGGACCTGACAGCCCCAGGAAGAGACACACACGCACAGTGCCCGATCCTGAGGAGGAACGAGCACTTCAGAGCCGTGCACGCCAGCCAGGCCGTGTGGAGAGGAGGGGGCTCCACTGGGAGGGGCTGAGGACCTTCCACAGGGTCTGTCGGGCAGCTTACCTTCCAGGTGGGTCCGTCTTGGCAGGGAGAGGAATGAGAGAGCCGTGCACACCAGCCAGGGCGTTCGGGAGGAGCAGCACGCAAGTTAGAAAGTCCCCAGTGCCGCTGTCCGTATGAGCTTCTCTCCAGCTCATTTTCCCCATCTGTCCAGTGGGATCTCGCTGCGTGGGACCAATGCAAGGATAGGATGAGATGTGCATGTGAGCAAGCTTGTTAAATATTAACTAGTACTTTGTGCGTGGCCTTCCACAACAGTCCCCTCGTGTGCACAGGCAGGGTCTGAGCAGAGGGAGGGCTTTGTGGATTCCAAAGGCCACCAGGCCCTTGGCAGGCAACTGCAGCTCGCCACCTCCCTCACCGACCGGTCAGCTTTCCAACACCAACACTGAAGAGGTGTGGGAGTTCTGTGCCAGGAGCTCCCAGAGCAGCTTCAGGGAGAGTGTGGGGCCCCCTGGGACCTGGGGCATCTTTGCCCACCTTAGGAGTGCTTTGTCCATCTGGACAAGCTAGGCTTGGCTCACTGCCACCCCTCTTTGGTCCAGCTGTCCCGGGGCAGTGGTGCCCAGGCTGCCTGACATTGCAGGGGTGTGGACAGAGCCCTTGCCAGGGAATCCCTACCCCAGGATTCTGGTGTGGCCTCCGCCTGGGTGTGTCCTGGTTAATTCCTGTGCCTACTGAAGGCCTGCCCCAGCTGATCTCGCTCGCTCGCCTCCTAGACCATGCTGGCCACATTGGTTCTCATCCAGTCTTCTGGGGTGGGGACCCGTCCAAGGACAGGCTGGCTGCTCAGTCATTCTGCAGGGCCAAGCAGGGCCTGCAAGGACGATGGGCAGACACAGCCGCATCACCCAGGCAGGACAGCAGGCTCTGGCCCAGGAGATCTGGGGGTGAATCCTGGCTCTGCCAGCCATTAGCCAGAGTGGAAGTGGGCAAATGGATTAACGCCTCCAGCACCTGGTTTCTCACCGAGAACACAGAGAAGGTTATAATCTGGACCTGGTATAATCTGGACTCTGACTTACAAATCTGAATGCCAAGCAAAACCCATTCACTAGCGAAAACTGACTCAGGCTGAACGTATTTAGGGGCAAAACCTAAATTGTCGAGGCTAGTTAAAAGTCCTGATTTTTCTCTGTTACATTGAATAGTCACATGTTCCTCTGAGGAACAGGAGTGGGTTTAATTATGGGGTTCTGCCCTAGACCCGTGTGGGCATGCCATGATCCACACCATGCACCACGTGTGCCTTTGTCATCGAAATACCTGCAGTTCCCAAATACATCTGGCCTCACAGGGTTGTTGGGGCTTAAATGTGCAAATACGAGTAAAGAGGTGAGAGCGGAGCCTGACAGCGCACCTGCTGGGCAGGGTCTCCAACACTGCAGCATTTTGGGGGAAGCTCTCCTACTGGGTGGGGTCTTTGTACAGCAGCAGCATTTCAAGGTGGGCTGATCCTTCTCATCTGGGGAAGCCAGGGCTGGGCAGGTGCCTGAGCCTCATGAGGGTCTCAGTCTAGATGCTGGGCCCTATTCTCCCTGCTGCCTTGGGCTTGGAGATGCTCACAGGTGAGTTCTCATTTGTGAAGAGGTCTGTCTTCCTGAGGAAGCAGGGGACCCTCACCTGTGAACCAAGTGTGCCATGGGAGCTGCTCCATGTCCAGGTCCAGGTCTCCTGGTCTGCAGGGAACGGCACAAGAGGGCTGGCCTAGGCCAGGAGGATGTGATCTGTCCTAGAAGGGGGCTGACCTGCTTGCTGACCCCGCTTGCTGCTGCCTGGCTGGCCTGACTCAGCCACGGCTGTTCCGAGGGCCCTTCTGAGTACGAACTTCCAGTTGGAGGATCTGGGTGAAGACCCAGCTGCTTGAGATAGCAGCCTCTGGCTAGGCCCTTGGCGTGGCCAAGCCAATCAGGCAGGTTTAGAGCCTGGTGCCCCTAGACAGGTCCTGCAACCAAGAACAGGGGTAGCCTTCAAAGGCCAGCCCTGCCTTCCAACCACCGCTCCACAGCGAGGGAAACCAAGGCTCTTAGGGCAGGAGGCTTGTCCGAGATTAGCACCTGCGTGCTCCAGGCTCTGAGTTCTGTCCCCTCAGCTGTCCGGCCCCTGGGTGCTCACTTTAATCTCAAGTCATTCATCTTACTATTAAACGTGAGCCCAGAAATATTGTTGTAATGGAGAACGATGCCTGCGAGTCTCCAAAGCCTTCCCTCGGAACGGTTCCATTAAATCTCTCCTGCTCAGAACCACCCAATCCAATTCATGGAGCGCCACGTGGTCTACAGCACAGCTGGTTAGGGCCAGCGGAGGTTTATTTATAGCTGGGCTCCTGGCTGCCTGGTAACCGGCCATTGCCACCTTTAAAGAGTCTTGGGATATTATCTACCTCTATTCAGCTTGAAATCGGGCATGCAGTGCCTTGGGCTGGGGCTGGCGATAATTAAATTTCTATCATGCACAATTATGGATGCAAAGAATGAATGACATCCCACTGGCATGTGAGGATTCGGGCAGCTTCTGGACTGAAATACAGACTTCATAATTGCTCCATCCAGATTGGGACAAAGACTGTGGTTGGGAGAACATGCCTGAACAAAGAAAAATGACTCTGCAGGACCAAAGTTCTTGACACTGATTGATCTGCCAAAAGGGGAAGAATGAGTCCAGCTAGAATCCAGGACTAACCAGCGGGTGAGCTTCAAGGAACAAAGGGCTTCCGCTGGGTCAGCCCACGAGAGGGAGCTGCCTGCAGGTACCTGGGAGGGCACAGCCACCGTGTCTGTTCCTTGGGAGCAGGGCTCCTTGGAAGGCAGCGCCAGCTCCAGAAAGGCCACTGTTCCCCCTCCCACCCACCCCAGGTGGCAACTGCCCCTGCAGGTCACGGTCCCAGGGCCTCGCTCGGCCGGCCTAGAGAGAGAAAAGGGAAGATGCCCAATTAGCTGGACGCCCATGGCCCCAGGGCTGGGGGACCTTGGGTTATCCTGAAAGAAGGACAATGACCACCTGCAAAGGACGATTTCAAGTGGAGCCTGGAGGAGGCGGCAAATAGCTCAGTCCGCACTCAACTCCCTTCCCAGCCGTCTGGTGGAAGGTGAGGAGCAAAAGCTCATGCTGCTGAGGCCTGGGGCCACCCAGGCACCGGCCTCCCCGTGCTGAGCAGAGACAGCAGCCCCCTAGCTGCAGGAGTGTGCCCCGATGCGCACCTGCCGACTTTCCTTCTGATGCAGACATGGTCCCCACTGGGGCAAGGCTGCAGTTTTCTTTTAAAAAACAGATCTTTCAAAATAAAAGGGGCCTTGAAGAAAATCGTGGAATAAATAACAGTCTGGGGTGGAGGCGGTTCTGGCGAAAGTGTCCTGAGGGTGGTGTGTGATGGACGGGACTTTGGGCAGTGCTGATGGGGCCTTGCCTGTCACTTGAGGCCTCCAGGAGAGTCGAGGACTGGCAGATCCAGGTCCAGAGCAGGTGCAGGCTCCCAGCTCTTCCAGCCCCTTACCTCGCAGTAGGTTCCCACAGTTCTAGCCTCCTTGATGCCAGCCCCAGGGTGCCCACTGCTGGCCAACTATGTCCTTTTCCTCAAAACCAGGTCCCTCGGTGCCCAGGGTGAATGGGTATATGAGCCTGGGTGTGGGCACCCGGGGTCTGGGACACCGAGCAGACCTCTCTGGCTTGGAGATGTGTGCGGTGGGAAGAACAGGGTGACCTGAGCTCTCCCGGTGTCACATTCTCCACATCTGAGCCCTCTTTGGGTGAGGCCCTACTTCCAGCACACACAGCTGTCCCCATTCGTCTTCAGGAATAACTGACCCTTGAGGCCAGACAGTGGCTGTGAAGAGCAGGGGGACCGCCTGACCGTGACCCCCAAGGACAGACGCTGGCCCTCTTGACGGACGAGATGACCAGGGCCAAAGGCGGCAACATGGGGGCCCACGCTGACGGCAGCATCTCACACCTGGATGTGTTTCTGTGGTCCACAGGTCTGTAGGAGGTGGAACTGGTTAATTTAAAGTCAGGTTGGGGTTGTTGTTAGAAAGGGTTCCTGCTCCCACGAGAAACCAAGGATGAGTGGTGGCTGCACCCAGTCTCCATCCCCATGAGCACCCTGCGGGGTGTTGGGACCCCCAGGCCCGGGCCACACACCTCTCTCTTTCAGGGCCGTCTCTCCCTGTCTCTCCAGACCTGCTCTGGGTTCTTCCTTCTAGAGCTTCCCAGTGGGTTGCCGGAGCTGTCTGGGGTTATGTGGCTTGCCTAAGGCCACACCGATTGGGGCCTGGCACCAAAGTCCATTAGTATTTCTGTGACAGCAGCCATCTTTCTATGTAAGACGCTTATTTCATAAGAAATGCCAGCATCTCTTGGAGTCCTTCTGAGGAGGCAACTGCATACGAACATCGCCTCTGTCTCGTGCTGTGACCCGGGGAGAGACTGTGGGCAAAACCCAGTGGCGTCCGAGGGTCTGTGTGGCCCCGAACTCTTAGTGCTGACAGCAACATGAAATAATGAAGGCACAGGGCACTCTGTTCGTGCATGTTAACTTGTGTAACTAGTGCACGTTAATCACATTAACTAGCCATGTTAACTAGTGACGTAGATTAATAATGATGAATCAATAGGAATGAGTCCTGTATACTGACGGATATCCGGGCGATAGGATTCTTCAGCGAGGCCGGGGAAGAAGCAGACTGTCACCTTTGGTCTAAAGTTGGTGGGTTAAGTGGTGGGAGGTGCTCAGGGCAGGTGGCAGGAAGGGGAGAGCGTTCCAGATGGGGAGAACCTATTTGAAAGGCAGTGGACATCTTCCCATGTGCATAGAGAGGACGGGTGGCCACTGGGCGAGATTGCACTGGGGAATGGGGCTTGTGGACATCTTCCCGTGTGCATAGAGAGGACAGGTGGCTGCTGGGTGGGATTGTACTGGGGAATGGGGGGGCCCTATGGATATCTTCCAGTGTGCATAGAGAGAATGGGTGACTGCTGGGTGAGATTGCACTGGGGAATGGGGCCCGTGGACATCTTCCTGTGTGCATAGAGAGGACGGGTGACTGCTGGGTGGGATTGTACTGGGGAATGGGGGGGCGCTATGGATATCTTCCCATGTGCATAGAGAGAATGGGTGGCTGCTGGGTGAGATTGCACTGGGGAATGGGGCTTGTGGACATCTTCCCGTGTGCATAGAGAGGACGGGTAGCTGCTGGGTGGGATTGTACTGGGGAATGGGGGGGCCCTATGGATATCTTCCAGTGTGCATAGAGAGAATGGGTGGCTGCTGGGTGAGATTGCACTGGGGAATGGGGCCCGTGGACATCTTCCCGTGTGCATAGCGAGGACGGGTGGCTGCTGGGTGGGATTGTACTGGGGAATGGGGGGGCCCTATGGATATCTTCCAGTGTGCATAGAGAGAATGGGTGGCTGCTGGGTGGGATTGCACTGGGGAATGGGGCCCGTGGACATCTTCCTGTGTGCATAGCGAGGACGGGTGGCCATTAGAGCAGTGCAGACGGGACCTGTTTCCAGAAGAAGGACTGAACTGACCAGATTTGCATGATATGTTTTTATTGCACTGGGAATTGGGGCCTAGAGGCCCACTGGGGTTTGATTGTGCTGTTGGTTTCATGATGGCCTGGATTTCAGGGGAGGGGCAGGTGTAGAGGGAGATGGAGGGAAGGTGGTAGGTGGGAGAGGGCTTAGCAGGTGAGTCTCTGAGACTTGTCCACGGTGTGGGGTGACTTTGGGGTCTGTGCCAGGATGCCCCCGCCTCAGCCGGCTTCATGGGCATCAGAGGGATCAGCTCTCAGTGGGTCCCTCCCCAGGCTGGGGTTGGGCAGGCTCTGACTGACCCCTGTCCACTGGAGGCACGGGAGGCTGCATCTGGGAGGGCGTCTCCGTCAGTCCCGTCCCCAGGACCTGTGCCCACACGCCTGGGCTTCTCCCACCAATGAGGTGAGCTTTCCAAGCATCGTGAACTTTGGTCTATCTTCAAGAAAACCCAAAATTGCACCTTTTTTTCAAGGCCTGGCCTGTGTCCTGGCTCTGCCACCTGCTGGCCCCTTCCTGGGTGGGAGGGCAGGGGTGACCCGATCAGTGACAGGAGGGTGGGCGTCTGTACCTCCCACCCATCCCGATGAGCACCGAAGGCCTGAGACGCAGGGCAGCTTGTGTGTCGGTCTTTGCAAGGAGACTGTATCTGATTTTAGAGCAGAATTCCAAATGTCTTTCAGCAGAAGACCCACTTGGTAGACTGAGTGGTGGGCCCACGGTCCACAGGAAGCCGAGTCCTCAGTCGCTGTGAGATCTTCATGCCTTTAATTTCTAATTGTTTATTTGCTCCATGGGGAGGAGCTGGCCTCACAGCTGAGCACAGGGGCCAGGAAGATAGGACCTGCTTCCAGACGAAGAAGGACTGAACTGACCAGATTTGGATAATATGTTGTTATTTTACAAACCGGGATTACAAGCCCTGGAAGGAGCTGATGAGCTGTCGCACCTGAGCCAGGAAGGAACTGTTAAATCCTGTGACCCCAGTTACTAATGGAAATGGGGGCATCAAATGGGGCTTAATCCGGCTACTAATTTTCTCATCGTCACTTCGTTATTATCTTACTAAAAAATGTAGTCACTATTCATTGCAGAAACTTAGAAAGCACAGTTAAGGAAAAAACAGAAAACTAAAGTCAACCACGGTTTTACTTTTGGGAGAAAACTACCAAGCTTCAGGCGCCCATCCGTGCATCCCAGGTTAAAAATCCGTGCAGTGTATTCAGAAGAAAATGGTTATGGCGTCTAAGTTTTTAATAGGCTGCTTTGCTTACTGGTAAAATCATACGCTGTTTGCTGTCATTGAAAACCCCCCGGTACCCGGTGAGAAGCCGGGATGGAGCCCGTTTACGGAGCCTCGAGCTGCTGGCCCGCCTGAGGCTGGCGTTCAGGTTCTGTGCAGTGTTTTGGAGAGAAATGAGATTCGTTGCTGCTTCCTTCACCTGAGGAGGGCACGGCCTCTGAGAGTTTCACCAGCAGACCTGACTGCGCAGTGGTCCAGGGCACTGAGCCCAGCCCCAGTCTTGACCATGGCCTGTCAAACGTGGTTCCTGACAGGGTAGTGGCTGGAGCAGACGCTGCCTGGAGGGAATGGGCACGTGACCCGGGGTGTGAGCTGTGAGCTCAGGGGCAGCAAGAGCCATCAGAAATGGGGAGGGCACGTGGCGCTTGAGTGGCCATCGCTGTGGAGAGCCCCCACACTGCGGCTGTTCTCAGCACTCAGGGAAGAGACACGGCACTCGCGTGGCCTTTGCCGTGGTGAGCGCCCACACTGCCGCTGTTCTCAGTGTTCAGGGAGGGGAAGTGGCACCTGTGTGGCCCTGGCCATGGTGAGTCCCCACATTGCCACTGTTCTCTGTGCTCAGGGAGGGAATGTGGCACTCGTGTGGCCTTCGCTGTGCTGTGTCCCCACACTGCCGCTGTTCTCAGTGTTCAGGGAGGGGAAGTGGCACCTGTGTGGCTCTGGCCATGGTGAGTCCCCACACTGCCGCTGTTCTCGGTGCTCGGGGAGGGGACGTGGCACTCTTGTGGCCCTTGCCGTGGTGAGCCCCCACGCCACTGCTGTCCTGAGCACTCACAGCATTGCCCCCATGTAGTCCTAAGGGTGGTCCTGGATGAGGCGTGTCACCCCCATTCTGCAGGAGCAGCCGAGTTTCTGGCAGGTCACATGAGGCACCACCGTACTCACCAGGACCCTGGAAAGGAGGCGGGACAGGCGTCCACGTCCTGAGCCCCATTGTTTTCTAGAAACAGGGTCTCTGTTGCCCAGGCTGGTCTTGAGCCCCTGGCCTCAAGCAGTCTTCCCACAGCCTCCCGAGTAGCTGGGACCACAGACACGCACCACCACGACGTCAGCCTCCCGAGTAGCCGGGACCACGGACACGCACCACCACGACGTCAGCCCCCCGAGTAGCCGGGACCACGGACACGCACCGCCACGACGTCAGCCTCTGAGTAGCTGGGACCACGGACACACACCACCACACCAGTTAATTTTTTAATTTTTTGGTAGAGATGGGGTCTTGCTATGTTGCCCAGGCTGGTCTCAAACACTCGGCCTCGAGCAAGCCTCCTGCCTCAGCCTCCAAAAGTGCTGGGATTTCAGGCATGAGCCGCCGCACTCGGGCACTGGGCCCCATTTAACAGGAGGGGAGGGGCGGGAGGTGCAGACCCCTCAGAGACACCGCAGGAGGCCGAGCACACTGCCCTGAGGTCGCGTCGGAGCCCGTCGACGGTTTCTGTGGCTGCGCCGGGCTTGGGATCCATCTCCCTCCTGCCTGGGGCCAGTACCAGCTCCTCCCTTGTGCCCAAGTGAAGCCCTGTGGATGGTGGGGACTCTGCTTTCTCGTCTGCGCCCTCCCCCGTGCTCCTGGCCTTCCTGGAGGATTCAGTGTCCTCGGGAAGCATCCACGGCACCCCCAGGCCCCCCACGAAGCCCGCTGTCCTCACGCTGACCCTCCCTCCCAGCCAGCCGCCACCTGAGACCTCGGTTCCTCTGGGTCAGTTCTTCCCGTCTGAAGGGAGTATCCTGAGCTTTCTTCCACCAAACCTACAAACCCATCTGCAGGCAGCTCCCCCATCCCGCCATCTCCTGCAGGGCTGGGCCCTCCCCGAGCTCCACGCCCTCAGCACACGCGCGTGCCCTCCAGCCACGTGGAGGAGCCGTGAGGTCCCTGGAGCGTCTCCGTCATCCCAGGCTGGCTGGGTTCCGTCTTCCTTCCATGACATTCCCTCTCTGGCCGTCCCCCTGCTCCACATCCCACGTCACTCCACCAGATACCTCTCAGATCCTCAGATATTTCTTGGATTTTTCCATTTTTCCATCTTCCTCCAAACCACCACCGTCTCCTGCAGCTGCCGCAGCCCCAGCCTCTCCCACCTCCAGTGTCCACCGTTGGCTCCAGGGCAGCAACAGCAGCCAGGGACAATCTGTGTGGGGCCCTCATGCCCTGCTGCCCCACGCTGGCCGCCCTTCCCTTTCCCTGGGACCCCCTGAGACCTGCTGGCTCACCAGCCCCCATCCCACCTTTGCACCCTCCCGTGCACTGTGATGCGTTGGCCCTGGTCCCCTCGGCCCTGCACACGTGTCCACTGTGACGCGTCTGTCATGGTCCCCTCGGCCCTGCACACGTGTCCACTGTGACGCGTCGGTCACTGTCCCCTCAGCCCCGCACACGTGCTCACTGTCCACTGTGACGCGTCTGTCATGGTCCCCTCGGCCCCGCACACGTGTCCACTGTGACGCGTCGGTCACTGTCCCCTCGGCCCCGCACACGTGCTCACTGTCCACTGTGACGCGTCTGTCATGGTCCCCTCGGCCCCGCACACGTGCTCACTGTCCACTGTGACGCGTCTGTCACGGTCCCCTCGGCCCCGCACACGTGTCCACTGTGACGCGTCGGTCACTGTCCCCTCGGCCCCGCACACGTGTCCACTGTGAGGCGTCGGTCACGGTCCCCTCGGCCCCGCACACGTGTCCACTGTGACGCGTCGGTCACTGTCCCCTCGGCCCCGCACACGTGTCCACTGTGAGGCGTCGGTCACGGCCCCCTCGGCCCCGCACACGTATCCACTGTGAGGCGTCGGTCACTGTCCCCTCGGCCCCGCACACGTATCCACTGTGACGCGTCGGTCACTGTCCCCTCGGCCCTGCACACGTATCCACTGTGACGCGTCGGTCACTGTCCCCTCGGCCCCGCACACGTGTCCACTGTGACGCGTCGGTCACTGTCCCCTCCGCCCTGCACACGTATCCACTGTGAGGCGTCGGTCACGGTCCCCTCGGCCCCGCACACGTATCCACTGTGAGGCGTCGGTCACTGTCCCCTCGGCCCCGCACACGTGTCCACTGTGACGCGTCGGTCACTGTCCCCTCGGCCCCGCACACGTGTCCACTGTGACGCGTCGGTCACTGTCCCCTCGGCCCCGCACACGTATCCACTGTGAGGCGTCGGTCACTGTCCCCTTGGCCCCGCACACGTGCTCACTGTCTCCTTCAGGGCCCGAGTTTGCTCTGCTTCCTCTGCTGGGTCATGCCGTCCTCTGTGGGGCCGGGGCCAGCCCTGCCCCTCGCTCCGAGAGCAGCTCAAATGTTAGCTCCCTAGGGAGGCTGCTCCTGAGCTGCGCCCAGGGCCCCCGCCCCGCTTCCCTCTTCCCCTTTGCACCGGAGCAGTCGCATATGCCACCCCACCACGTTCCATTTACGTCTGTGCCGGCAGGGATGCCCGGCTCTTGTTCGGGCCCGTGATGTTGACGTGTGACCAGTCCCTGGTGTGGCCCCGTGAGGCCCCCTCACACCAGACAATCCCCCGCGTGGCCCGGACCTACCGGTCCACAGCGCGTGACAATCTCCCATCTCGGGCGACCTGGAGGCCCTCGCTGTGGCCAGCTTAGCTCCCGGGGCTGCCCCAGGCCGAGGCCAGCCCCTTCCCTGCTGTGGGAACCCCCCGGAGCCCCCTTCCTTCTCCACCAGCAAAAAGGAAATCCCGAGGTGGTGGGAGGAGGGTCCCATTGGGAGTTCTTGAGCCTCCTGGTGGCCAAAGCTGGAGGGAGGCTACTGGAGGCTTCCACACCCCAGCGAGTCCTTGCGGAGCGGCGGGAGCTGCCTCGCATGAGACAGGTGCTTTCAGCCCCAGGTCTCCCCAAAGTCACCCTGCTCAGGTTGCTTGTAGCTCCCCAGAAACGCGGGCGGGAGGTGCCACTCCCCGTTCTTAGGCAGGGGCAGGGGGGTGCGTGGGTGTGTGTGGTCGTGCAGGGGTATGTAGGGGTGTGTCGGGGGGTGTCTGTGGGTGTGTAAATGTAGGTTGGTGTTTGTTGGTGTGTAGGTGTGTGCTGATGTGAGTGGGTGTTTGAGGTGTTGCCTGCAGGTAAGCACACCTGGCCGTCCCGTCGAGATTAGGCCCTTGTGTCTGTGGGTGTGTAGGTGTGTGTTGTGTGTACTGTAGGGTGTGGTGTGTGTAGGTGTGTATGGGTATGTACATGACTGTGGGGTGTGTGCTGATGTGTGTGGGTGTATACGTGTGTGTCCAGGTAAGCACACCTGGCCGTCCCTTCTAGGAGTCAGGCCCTGTGTCTGTGGGTGCATGTGTGTGAGTGTATGTAGGTGTGTGTGATGTGTAGTGTGTGGGTGTGGTGTGTGTACATGGGTGTGGGTGTGTACATGGCTGTGTGGGGTGTGTGCTGATGTGGGTGGCTTATACGTGTGTGTCCAGGTAAGCACACCTGGCCGTCCCTTCTAGGGGTCAGGCCCTTGGGTCTGTGGTCAGCATGGAGAGATCTACCCCAGTACTCAACCCTGAATATCAGGCAGAGAATCCATCAGCCAGGCGAGAGCTTCACTGCAGAAAACTCAAACTTCCCAGGCAGAGTGGGACCCCTGGACCATGCCCAGAGGACCCGGATTGCAGCCAAGAGCCCTCGTCCGCACAGGAGAAGAAGGGGCGTGAGGCCAGAGAGTGACCCTGTTTCTCTCCCTCCTTCCTGCAGCCATGAAGTCGGGGGGCACGCAGCTGAAGCTCATCATGACCTTCCAGAATTACGGGCAAGCGCTGTTCAAACCCATGAAGTAAGTGCCGAGGCCTGTGGGCTGGGGCGTGAGGAGCTGGAGCTGCAGGCGAGCAGGCGCCGGGCTTCTGCTGGGGATGGCCGTGTCTCCTCCCAGGGTGTTTTGGGGAGACTGTGGGTGACCACTCTCAACTCTCCCCGTCATGGCAAACGAGCAACAGAGGTGGCCTCATTTTCTCTCCTCTCCCACGGCCTCCCCACCTCCTCCCTTTTTATAGGACGGAAAACCTACTGCTGGTTATTCTTACCCTGTGAGAATAAGCATTTGTATTTTAAACAAGTAACCTGGAATGTGAACACCAAAGAATGCCTCTCTGGAAGAGGTGACGTCCGCACCTTCCCAGCAGGCCTCCGGAGCCCGCACACCTTTGCTACAAAGGGCCGGACGCAGCTATTTCAGGCTTTGCAGGTGTATGGTCTCTCCCTACTATTCAGCGGGTGGTCCTAGCCCCAAAGCAGCCAGACGCAGTACGTGGTGATGGGGGAGGCTGAGTTCTAATAAGTCTTCATTTATGCAACAAAATGGGCTGGATGTGGTCCAGTGGACAGTGTGCCCTGATCTGGATAAAATAGAAACTGTGTCAGTCACCAAAACCGATAACACAGCGCTCCGTGGCACGCGACAGCTCGTGGTGAGGGGTGTGTGGACACCTGGCCACCCCAGGAAGGCTGCTGGGCTGGGTGGGGTCTGTGGCAGGCGTCCCACAGGAAGGGGCCAGCGGCCTGTCAGCTCACTAGATCTTGGCCATCTGGCCTGATTTCCAACTTTCTAGAGAAGCCAGAAATATGGATTTTTTTTTCCTGTTTTAATCTTGGTGGTAACTAATTCAGAAGCTCTTCATATACTTTGCAGGTAAAACAAAATATAGCTGCCTGCTTGCAAGTTGTGGCTGGAGGCAGATGTTTGCAGCTGGGCTCGGTTTCTGGGCCTCTCATTTCTCTGGACAGATGTCCTGGAGGGACTCGACCGAGGGAGGTGGCCCTGCCCCGGTCTTCCCCCAAGACCCACGAGTCCTGCCTCAGACCCGGGGCTGCCGGGAGCCGGTGGATGAGTCACAGCCCCGTGCCTGAGCCCGGGCCGAGGGCATCCCCGCTCACACGCTCACACAGGGCCGGGGAGCAGCCGTTCACCAAAATTACACGGAGGCCATCAGAGCTCAGGGCCTGGGGCTGAGGGCTGCTACCAGGGGTGGGATGAACGCACGGGAGCTGATCCGCTGCCCCCACGGGTCTCACGGCCCAGCCCTGCGGGGGGCCTGAGATCACAAGCACTTCCTTCCCCGTTTCTGTGCGTGGATGTGAAACTCAGCCTCCTTGGGCCTCTCGTGGCCTCTGCCCCGGTTGAGGAGGCTCAGCCAGGAGAGATGGCGTCGCCCGGAGACCTGAGGGTCTCCTGGGTTACGTGAAGGAGCTGTTTGAAGACCCCTCCTTTCAGGATGCTGTGGTGTGGAGCCGGGGGTGGGCAGGAGACAAATGAGCCTGGGCAGCTTCCCCTGGTGCTGCGTGGACCCTTCCGCTGGCAGTAATGGGAGTGGAATAGTCGCTGAATGGCGGCGTCTTCATCTCCCTTGAGCTGGCTTCGAGCCGCGGGCACGGCTGGGGGAGGCAGACTCCCGCCTCCCACCTGTGGGAGCATTTTTCAGCCTCGCAAATGTTTCCAGGTTCATTCAGGAGCATCCCCTGGAGGGGTGGCCCCGTCACGCCGAGCTACGGGACCTTGAGTGCTGTGTCCCGTCCGCAGAGAGCAGAGTGTTCCTGGGCGCCAGCTTGTCCGGCCCCTATTTCATGGTCCGTGTGAATCCTCAGGCCCCGTTTCTCATCTCTGAGGAGGTGGAAAGTGCAGCTGTGGTTGGAGAACGGTGACATTTACCGAGCCGCTGCTCTAACCCAGGCCCTGCGGGAACCGGCGTCTCGTGGGCACTCGGTAGCTGTGGGCCCGGCCTGTGCTTGGGGTTTATATACAGAAGCCTTTATGTTTGTCCATCCTCACATAGCCCTGTGAGTTATAGGAGGTGACGCTTACCGCTGCGTAAAGACGAGAGAACTGGGGTTTAGAGAAGGAAAGTAGAGACCCTCCTGGACCAGGATCCAGTGTCCCCTTAAGCCCAGGGTGCGCGACCTACCCTCCGCCTCCCCCAGCCTTCTCCCTTCCTCCTCCCCCGTCAGCCTCCCCTGGGCCTCCTCCCAGCCTCCGCCAACCTCCCCCAACCTCCCTCAGCCTCCTCCAACCTCCCTCAGCCTCCCCTCGGACCTTCCCATGCCTTCCCTGGACCTCCCCCCAGCCTCCTCCACCCTCCCAGCCTTTTCTGAGCCTCCCCTTAGACATCTCCCAGCCTCCTCCCAGCCTCCCCACAACCTCCCGAAACCTCCCCCAGACCTCCCCCAGCCTCTTCCAACCTCCCGGCCTGCCCCCAACCTTCCACCTCACCTCCTCCACCTCTTCCTCCCCAGGCCTCCCCAAACCTCCCCAGCCCCCCACCGTGATGGGCACCCCACGTCCCCAGCGTGGCCACATGAGGGGCTGACCTTAGAGGTCAGGGGACCTCCCATGGTCCTGCAGCGGGCAGAGGTGGCGCCAGGCTCCAGAGCCCCCTCCCTAGGACCCGTTTGTCAGGGCCCTGCCATCCCAGCTTGCCTGAAGGCCGAGGCTGCTGACGGATGGGCTGGGCAGGGCTGTGCTGTCACCCGGGGAGGCCAGTGTGACGCGTGGGCTAAGCGGGGAGGTGGGGGCCGGGTTACAGCATAGCCAGGAAACAGGCCTGAGAAGCCTGCTGCAGTTGGGGAAACTGAGGCCCGGAAAGGGAAAGGATACGTCCAAGGCCGTGGCGTCCAGAGGCTGGTCCGGGACTCCGTCTTCCCACAGGGCACGTGGCGGGCGGAGGCAGGGACCCCACACCTCAGGCGGGCGGGCGTGTGCGAACCTTTTGCAAACCTCCCAGCTCGGTCCTCTCACCGCCGCCCCCCAGGTCAGGTTAGGGCGTTGGCTGGTGCCCGACCCTCCTTTGCAAACCAGGGGGCCTGGATCTGTCATTGATGGAGGTCCTGCAGCCAGTGGCGCCCCTGATGACCTATGGGGGCTGTGCCCAGGGCCTGGGGGATGATCGTTTCTTCTTCCGCAGAGGCTGTGGTTTGCATACGAAAGCAGCTGTGGTTCATGACCATAGCATTAATGAGTTAAAATCCATGATTAATAGTTCTCTTTAAAGGCCGGGCACACTGGCTCGCAGCTGTAATCCCAGCACTTCGGGAGGCCGAGGCTGGCGGATCATTTGAATCCAGGAGTTCAAGAGCAGCCTGGCCAACATGGTGAAACCCCATCTCTACTAAAAATATAAAAATTAGCCGGGTGTGGTGGTTTGTGCCTGTGATCCCAGCTACTCAGGAGGCTGAAGCAGGAGATTCGCTTGAACCTGGGAGGTGGAGGTTACAGTGAGCCGAGCTGACGCCACTGCACTCCAGCCTGAGGGACAGAACAAGACTCCGTCTCAAAAAAAAAAGTTTTCTTTAGTAAAGGACTTTGCTCTCTGCGCTCATCACGGCTCGGTGAGTTCCTAGTACAACGTCGTGAATTAGAGAGCACAGTGTTTCTCCTCCGAGGTGCTAGATGTGCGGTGAGAGGGTGTAGGTGAGGGGCCGGCGGTGAGGTGGGGGCCAGCCTGGGGTGCTGCACAGCGTGTGGGGGGCGGGATCACCAGGGGAAGTTTTAGGGTCTCCGTTTCTAATAGTCGCTGAAAAGCACGTAGCCGGCACATCAACCCAAGCGCTCCTGGGTGCTTTTGCTTTAGGGTTACGTTAAGATATTTACGTTCTTTTTTTAAAGTCAGCTTTATTGAGATATAATTCACAAGCCATGCGATTCACCCACTTAAAGTGTGCAGCTTGGGGGCTTTCGGCTCAGAACTGTGCGTTCATCACCGCAGTTGATTTTAGCCCGTTTTCCGTGACTCCACAGAGAAATCCTTCGCCATTCTGTCATCACTCCTCAACCCCCTTGTCCGCCTCCAGCCCCCGTCAAGCACTAGCCTACTTTCTGCTTCTTGATATTCATAAGTTACTTATTCTGGATTTTCATACAAATGGAATCACGCACTGCGTAGTCCTTTGTGAGTGACACGTTTCCAAGGCTCTGGAGTCCTGCAGTGTGTAGTCCTTTGTGAGTGACATGGAGGGCTGTGGAGTCCTGCAGTGTGTGGTCCTTTGTGAGTGACATGGACGGCTGTGGAGTTGTGCAGTGTGTAGTCCTTTGTGAGTGACATGGAGGGCTGTGGAGTTGTGCAGTGTGTAGTTCTTTGTGAGTGACATGGAGGGCTCTGGAATCCTGCAGTGTGTGGTCCTTTGTGAGTGACACGTTTCCAAGGCTCTGGAGTCCTGCAGTGTGTAGTCCTTTGTGAGTGACATGGAGGGCTCTGGAGTTGTCCACTGCGTAGTCCTTTGTGAGTGACACGTTTCTGAGGCTCTGGAGTCCGGCATTGCATAGTCCTTTGTGACTGACACGTGGTTCCAACGCTCATCGGTGCTGCAGCACGCATAGGTGCCTCCCTGTTTTTCATGGCTAAGTAATATTCCAAGGTGTGGCTGTTCATTCTTTCCTCTGTTGACGGGCATTTGAGTTGTTTCCGCTTTTGACAATCAAGGATAATGTTGCTTTGAGCAACCGTGTATGAGGTTTTGCAGGGCAGGTATTTTCAGCTCTCTTGGATGTATTCTGGGGAGCAGTTGCCGGATCACGTGATAACTGCGTTTAACTGTTTGAGGAACTGACTGTCCGTTTTCTGCAGCGGCTGCACCATTGTGTAACCCTGCGAGCTCGTTCCCGGGTTCCAGTTTCTCCACCTCCTCGTCAGCGTGTGCTGTTGTCTGGCTTTTTGATGACGGCCGTCCCGGTGGGGGTGGAGGGGGGTTTTGTGGTGGTTTTGACTTGCACGTCCCGGTGACTAATATTGGAGTGTCTTTCCATGTGGGCACGGGCCATTGACGTGTCTTCTTTAAAGAAATGTCTATTCAGAGCTTTTGCCATTTTGTTCAGTTGGGGTATTTGTCTTTTTGTTACTAAGTTTTAAGACGTCTTGGCCAGGCACAGTAGCTCACGCCTGTAATCCCAGCACTTTGGGAGGCCGAGGCAGGTGGATCATCTGAGGTTGGGAGTTCAAGACCAGCCTGACCCACATGGTGAAACCCCGTCTCTACTAAAAGTACAAAATTAGCTGGGCGTGGTGATGCATGCCTGTAATCCCAGCTACTCGGGAGGCTGAGGCAGGAGAATCGCTTGAACCCGGGAGGCGGAGGTTGCAGTGAGCCGAGATCACGCCACCGCACTCCAGCCTGGGCAATAAGAGTGAAACTCGGTCTCAAAAAAAAAAAAATCTTTACATGTTCTAAATACAAGACCTTTACCACATATGTGGTATCATGTGAAGGACAAGCTTAATTTTAGGACGTCCAATTTAGTTACTTTTGTTATTCTCGTGCTTTTGGTGTAATTACGTTTGAATGCTGAAAGCACGTGTGTTAGGCGAAGAGTGGTGCGGGAGGCGGTACCTGCACTTGGCACGGTCAGCGGAACGGTGCGGCTTTAGGAAACACCACGTAGCCACAGAGCGACGGGCCTGGCGTAGCCACTGTTGCTGTTTGACCTGACTGAGTGCCCTCACCTCCTGGAACTCAGCGTACCCATCTGTCAACAAGGGCGTTGGAAGAAGAGGTCTCAGGCGCTTGCAGGGCTGAACCCTTTTGACCTGGCCTAGGAGACCCGGCACTGGCTTTCCAGCTTGGAGAAGTGGGGGACTGAGCATGGGTTTGAGTCCGGTGGACGCACCCAGCAGGCTGTTGGCTACAAATTCCATCTTGCGTCTTGGAAAGAAGCTTCCAGGCATGCGGCGGCTGCCCATGACACTGGCTGTGACCACCTCCAGGTAGAAATATTCATTTAGTCATTCCACAAACTCGGAGTGCCGGGCCTGGCCTCCCGCCAGGCACTGGGAACACAGATGTGACTCAGACTCGAAGCCTGAAGGTGGTCTGACCTCTGGACGTGGGGAGGCCCAGCCACAGGTGCTGCCTAAACACTCCTCGTCACTACACTCTCCTATGCTCCACGGGAGACAGGCAGCTACGTGTGTCCAGTCTCCCAAAGTGGCCCAGGAGGACAGGGCGTGGTTAACAGTGGGAGTTATGTACAGAGTGAAAGAGAAATGTACAAAAGAGGCGGAGTGAGCGAGTGAGCACCGTACCACAGAGTTTAGAGGCTCCAGCTGGGGGGGGGAGCAGGGCCCCTGGTGTATGGAGAGGATGGAGCTGGGTGGGGGGAGCAGGGCCCGTGGTGTATGGAGAGGATGGGGCTGGGTGGGGGGGGCAGGGCCCGTGGTGTATGGAGAGGATGGGGCTGGGTGGGGGGAGCAGGGCCCCTGGTGTATGGAGAGGATGGGGCTGGGTGGGGGGAGCAGGGCCCGTGGTGTATGGAGAGGATGGGGCTGGGTGGGGGGAGCAGGGCCCCTGGTGTATGGAGAGGATGGAGCTGGGTGGGGAGCAGGGCCCCTGGTGTATGGAGAGGATGGGGCTGGGTGGGGGGAGCAGGGCCCCTGGTGTATGGAGAGGATGGGGCTGGGTGGGGGGAGCAGGGCCCGTGGTGTATGGAGAGGATGGGGCTGGGTGGGGGGAGCAGGGCCCCTGGTGTATGGAGAGGATGGAGCTGGGTGGGGAGCAGGGCCCCTGGTGTATGGAGAGGATGGAGCTGGGTGGGGAGCAGGGCCCCTGGTGTATGGAGAGGATGGGGCTGGGTGGGGGGAGCAGGGCCCGTGGTGTATGGAGAGGATGGGGCTGGGTGGGGGGAGCAGGGCCCCTGGTGTATGGAGAGGATGGGGCTGGGTGGGGAGCAGGGCCCGTGGTGTATGGAGAGGATGGAGCTGGGTGGGGAGCAGGGCCCCTGGTGTATGGAGAGGATGGAGCTGGGTGGGGGGAGCAGGGCCCGTGGTGTATGGAGAGGATGGAGCTGGGTGGGGGGAGCAGGGCCCCTGGTGTATGGAGAGGATGGGGCTGGGTGGGGGGAGCAGGGCCCCTGGTGTATGGAGAGGATGGGGCTGGGTGGGGGGAGCAGGGCCCCTGGTGTATGGAGAGGATGGAGCTGGGTGAGGGGAGCAGGGCCCGTGGTGTATGGAGAGGATGGGGCTGGGGGAGGGGAGCAGGGCCCGTGGTGTATGGAGAGGATGGAGCTGGGTGGGGGGAGCAGGGCCCCTGGTGTATGGAGAGGATGGGGCTGGGTGAGGGGAGCAGGGCCCGTGGTGTATGGAGAGGATGGGGCTGGGTGGGGGGAGCAGGGCCCCTGGTGTATGGAGAGGATGGGGCTGGGTGGGGGGAGCAGGGCCCCTGGTGTATGGAGAGGATGGAGCTGGGTGGGGGGAGCAGGGCCCGTGGTGTATGGAGAGGATGGGGCTGGGTGGGGGGGGCAGGGCCCCTGGTGTATGGAGAGGATGGGGCTGGGTGGGGAGCAGGGCCTCTGGTGGTAGATTCCCAGCCTGTGGGGTGACATCTCACTGAGGAAAGGCCAGCTGGGAGCCCTGGTCCTTGATGCTGGCCGGGGAATCTTTTCTCCAGAGACACCTGCCCTCCCTGCTCTTTCCAGCCTGGGAGTTTCTGTGTGTGTGTGTATGAGTGTGTGTGAGTGTGTGTGAGTGTGTGTGAGTGTGTGTGTGAGAGACAGAGTGTGTGTGAGAGTGTGTGTGTGTGTGAGACAGAGTGTGTGTGTGTGTGTGTGTCCGTCTACGTCTCCCAAAGAGACTGTCTGCAAACAGCTGTCCCAAGGCCCAGGAACTCCTCCCAGCCAAGACACATGAACAGAGGCAGTTGCAGAAGGGCTTGCGGGGCTGACACAGTATTTCTAGATGCAGAAACTTTAGCCCTCCTTCCGGGCTCTGACAACACATGGCCCGCTGGGGCCTGTCTCCGGGCAGCAGAGCTTGAGCAGTGACGAGGAATTAAAGGCAGGAGCGGGGGCCCACCCTGAACGGCCTCATCCCAAGCAGCATCGTACTGGCGTGAAGAGGCCCTGTGTCATGTCTGACTGGCTTCCTATGACCCAGGCACAGCTCCGGGGCCACAGCCAGATGCCTCCTCTACCGAGCGAAGGGGCCCAAGAGGAGGATGGCCGTCAGCGGCCCCCCAGGGGTGAGCAGATGCAGCTCAGACAAACCTTTCCCAGGTGCCCTGGGGCTGCTGACCCCCCGAGGCCTGTGGGGGAGGCGGACACAGCTTTGGCCTCGGACTTGCAGCTGCGTGGGGCCTTCTGCGGGACCTGTGTGCAGTGGGGGTGTTATTGGGGTCGAGGCTTGCCCAGGCCCCTCCTGGGGTCATCATCCCTGGCTCCTGTTGCTTTCTCTAGGTTGTGACATGGTGGTCACAGACTGGCTGTGGGTGAGCTCCAGCCCCTCCCGGGTGCCCCCCTTTAGGGTAGAGCTGCATTTGGCTGTTTGTGCATCAAGGGGGTAACATGCACCTGGACCTGGGGGAATTTCAGGGCCATCCTGGGGGGCGGTGCTGAGATGGTGGCCTCGGGCTTGGCTTGAGGTTAGGTGTGTCCCTAGAATGCACTGGATGGCAGACAGCTGCCTGGTGCAGGGCGGCCCTAGAGAGGTGCCGGCTTTCCCTGAAGCGGCTTCTGAGGCCTTTCTCGCACCCATGTCTAGGGCCAGGCAGAGGTGCCCTGAGGGTTCTCTGCAGTCCCACGTGGCCACGTCCAGAGAGGGCAAAACAGATGCAATATTAATAAGAAAGACGGGAGAACAATGACCCGGGGCCCGCGCGTCACTGCAAAGCTTTCCATTTGTACGAGGAGAGGACTGAGAGGTTCGATGAGCGCCTGGCTGGGGCTGGCCGTAACGGCCACCCTCAGAGGAAGAGGGGCCTGGCTGATGGTGGTGCACGTTGGCTGGGAGAGGAGGTGCAGCTGCTCTTTAATTGATGTTCTATTGATGTTCCTGTTCGATAAGCTACCTGGGGTCCTGTACAGTGGGCCGAGGGCTGCCCGTCCCCGTCGGCCCCGGGATGCTTTGTTAGCAGGACGTGTGAGGCCAGGAGTGGTGGGGTAGGGGTTGGACGCTCAGGCCTGCTGCCTGTGGGCTGGCTCTCGAACTTCCCCGGGCCTCAGCCTCCTCGTCTGTGAAACGGGGTCACACGAGCTGCCAGGCAGGCCACAGCGTTCACCCGGCAGCTCAAGCCCAGCCACAACCACACTGGCTGCTTTTCTCAATGAAGCAAAGTATTTAGGTGTTCACCACGTGGCTGTGGGGCCTTTCCGGCAGCTCCTCGCCCTGCAGGCCTGGGCTCAGCACTTCCTGGCAGCCGGGGCCCCTTTCCGGTGCTCCCGTCCTGGAGGGTCCCTCCGTGTGTCCTGCGGGGCCTCCGTCCAGTGCCGCGCTGCGTGCTGCCTCCTCAGTTCACCCGCACTGACCCTCGGGTGTGGCCCCTCTGACGGGACTGCACGACCTGCTCAATGTCCTGGTAAGCTCGTGGCCCAGCCGGGGAGCTGAAGGGAGGCCGGGACGCCAAGCTCCAAGCCTGGTCAGAGGGAGGGCGGGGCAGGGTCTGAGTGACAAGTGTGTGGGCATCGTTGTGCGGCCTCACCACCGCTCTGACGCCTCCTGGCTCTCTGGACATGACCCGTGTCCACCACGTGGCCCAGCCGAGGACAGGGCTGGTCACTCCTCCATCCCAGGGCTCACTCAGCCAATGCTTATTGATTAGTATAGACTGGGAAACCGAGGTGGGAGAGGTGACAGGAGCTGACACAGGCCCAGGACGCACAGATCACTCCCGTCCGGCCGGGAGCTGACACGGGCCCAGGACGCACAGATCACTCCGGTCCGGCCGGGAGCTGACACGGGCCCAGGACGCACAGATCACTCCTGTCCGGCCGGGAGCTGACACGGGCCCAGGACGCACAGATCACTCCCGTCCGGCCGGGAGCTGACACGGGCCCAGGACGGACAGATCACTCTGGTCCAGCCCAAACCCAGTGGCATGGACGGGACTTGCTCAGAACCTGTTAGTGGCTCAGACAGGACATAAAGTGAGGGTTCCCCAGTGCTCCCCACCGCACAGAGGCTGGCCCCTCCTGGGGTCGTCACCATGGGTGGTGGTGGTGTTTGGAGGCACGGTTGCCTTCTGCGGTTCTTGTCCCTTCTCCGTGATGCAGGAAGCCAGGCTCCACCTGGGGCGAGGTTTGAGGGGAGCATGTGACTTTGTTGTCCAGGGCTGGGCAGGTGAACAGGTGGAGAATGGGGGGAGGGGCTGGGGTCGCTGCATGAACCCCACCGTGAATGTGCACAGTCCGTGCTTGCTGAGTGCATGGATGAAAAGTGAAGGACACCCAGCCCAGGACAGCAACGCCCAGCCCAGGACAGCAACGCCCAGCCCAGGACAGCAATGGCCAGCCCAGGACAGCAACGCCCAGCCCAGGACAGCAATGGCCAGCCCGGGACAGCAACGCCCAGCCAGGGCTGTCGGCGGGGTCTGAGGGAGGCGCGTTCCCTCTCAGAGTGGGGGCTTGGCTTCGAATCCGGTACCTGAAGCAGCAGGAGGTGCCTCGGCTGTGGCTGTGCAGACCCCTCCTGGGGCCTTGGCTGAAGGCCTTGGGAGCCACAGGAAAAGCAATTCTGGCCAAGAGGACTGTCCAGCAGTCAGCCCAGGGTGTCCTGCAGAGACTCCTGGGTGAATCCTGCCAGGCAGGGACCTGGCCTCCAGGGCCGGGGTAAGGACGGGGAGGGCAGGGGAGCTGGGCTCACACTGGCTCTTCTCCTAGAGCCCATGAACTAAGGCTCGGGGAAACAAAATGGTTTTGAGGACCAGTGAGGGATCGGTTTGGAATTTCGAAGGATTTTCTGTTCTGCTGATAAAAATTCATGTTTCTCTCCACTGTGGCCTCACCGGTTCCAAAGGCAAACAGATTGCCCAATGGGCTGGGTGGGTGTGGACCCAGCAGAGGCCTGGGCCTGACCAGACCTGGACAAGGACCCCTTTGTGTCCACACTGGGTGTGGGCCGGCCTCCAAGCCCGCTCCTCACCCTGGGTCTGGCTGGGCAAAGCTGCCTGGCACTCAGGAGCTCCTGCTGACTCCCTGGGGGAAGCCAAGCCAAGACCCCTTGCAGGAAGGTTGATCCACCTCATTGGAAGCTGCCGGGACCCCCACATGCTGCCCTCGCTGTGGTGGGGTCCCTGTGCCCAGAGCTGCTGGCTCCTGGCATGGAAGTGGCCTCCTGGGTCCTGCCTGAGAGCCTGTCCCTTATAAACTCAGGAAATTAGGCCCTTGAGCAGAGGCCAAGTCCATTCTCCTCTCACCCCTGCCCTGCCCAGCAGAGTCGCTGGGCCCACCCACTGGGCGCCTGCTGTGGCTGGGGATGCTGCTCACGCAGGTTCCCACCTCAAGTGGAGCTTAAATTCCCGGGGGGCGTGGTCAACGCACGTGAACAAATACGCAGGAACGTTTCAGAGAGGGGTGATGCGTGGAGGGACTGAAACGAAGGAGCATGGCAGAGACGGGCTTGGTGAAGGGGGCGTTGTTCCACTGACCTTCTGGGGTCTCTCCCACAAACTGAGTTAAGCATGACCTCTGTGTAGGCACCGCCTGGGGAAGTCCTAGGAGGCGGCGTTGGAGCTGAGACCTGAATGGCATGGTCGGCAGCAGGGGGCGGTCTGGAGAGGAACATTCCTGCAAGGGCCTGTGCTGGCCACGTGTGCAGGGGAGAGAGGCCGGAGGGAGGGCGGGACCCGTGCACACAGGAAGCTCCACGTGGTGGGCAGGTCATCTGGTGCTCGAGCATAGGAGGCCTGGGGCGGTCAGCTGCATTTTCCCTGGGCACCCAGCCGTCACGCCCTGGGGAGCAAGGACAGGAGGCCTCCCATGCCTGAGAAGTGAGAGCCCGGATGGTGGGCCCAGGGCACAGGGCGGAGCCTCGTCTCTAGCAGGGCAGGGGGCTGCAGGAGCCGTTCTTAGCATCTGGGCACAGGGCGGAGGCTCGTCTCCAGCAGGGCAGGGGGCTGCAGGAGCCGTTCTTAGCATCTGGGCACAGGGCGGAGCCTCGTCTCCAGCAGGGCAGGGGGCTGCAGGAGCCGTTCTTAGCATCTGGGCACAGGGCGGAGCCTCGTCTCCAGCAGGGCAGGGGGCTGCAGGAGCCGTTCTTAGCATCTGGGCACAGGGCGGAGCCTCGTCTCCAGCAGGGCAGGGGGCTGCAGGAGCCGTTCTTAGCATCTGGGCACAGGGCGGAGCCTCGTCTCCAGCAGGGCAGGGGGCTGCAGGAGCCGTCCTTAGCATCTGGGCACAGGGCGGAGCCTCGTCTCCAGCAGGGCAGGGGGCTGCAGGAGCCGTCCTTAGCATCTGGGCACAGGGCGGAGCCTCGTCTCCAGCAGGGCAGGGGGCTGCAGGAGCCGTTCTTAGCATCTGGGCACAGGGCGGAGGCTCGTCTCCAGCAGGGCAGGGGGCTGCAGGAGCCGTTCTTAGCATCTGGGCACAGGGCGGAGCCTCGTCTCCAGCAGGGCAGGGGGCTGCAGGAGCCGTTCTTAGCATCTGGGCACAGGGCGGAGCCTCGTCTCCAGCAGGGCAGGGGGCTGCAGGAGCCGTTCTTAGCATCTGGGCACAGGGCGGAGCCTCGTCTCCAGCAGGGCAGGGGGCTGCAGGAGCCGTTCTTAGCATCTGGGCACAGGGCGGAGCCTCGTCTCCAGCAGGGCAGGGGGCTGCAGGAGCCGTTCTTAGCATCTGGGCACAGGGCGGAGCCTCGTCTCCAGCAGGGCAGGGGGCTGCAGGAGCCGTTCTTAGCATCTGGGCACAGGGCGGAGCCTCGTCTCCAGCAGGGCAGGGGGCTGCAGGAGCCGTCCTTAGCATCTGGGCACAGGGCGGAGCCTCGTCTCCAGCAGGGCAGGGGGCTGCAGGAGCCGTCCTTAGCATCTGGGCACAGGGCGGAGCCTCGTCTCCAGCAGGGCAGGGGGCTGCAGGAGCCGTTCTTAGCATCTGGGCACAGGGTGGAGCCTCGTCTCCAGCAGGGCAGGGGGCTGCAGGAGCCGTTCTTAGCATCTGGGCACAGGGCGGAGCCTCGTCTCCAGCAGGGCAGGGGGCTGCAGGAGCCGTTCTTAGCATCTGGGCACCCGGGAGGGAGGGGCCTGTGGGGAGCCAGAAGTGCGCAAGTCAGGAGACAGGGCAGGGCTGGAGGCCACGCAGGGATGTCTGGAGGTCCAGGGCAGCTGTGCTGTTGTGTTTTGTTTCTTAGAAAGCTTCTCAGTGGGTGTTATGGGTCAGTGGAGAGTGAGCGCCCTGTGAGAGTCAGGGCAGGCCTGGTCCAGCCCCCGGCAGTGAGGATGGAGGGACTTGGGTGTCCAGAGGAGCCCAGTGCTGCAGTTGGGTACTGAGAGCAGCTGGGGTCACCGTCAGCCCCCACTGTGGTCCCCAGACTTGCAGGCCCTCAGTAAGGGAGTGGATTGCCCTGGCACAGGCTCAGGAAGCAGATGCCTGGTGAAGAACGGCCTGAACCCCCCAGGCCCAGGGCTGGCACTGAGAGGGGAGTGCACAGGTGTCCACGGAGGCCCTGCCCCTCCTGGGGGCTCTGAGACCCTGGGGCCAGGATCCCAGCAAGAGGTGAAGGGACAGGCCCTGAGGTGCCAACCAAAGGCTGGAGAGCGGAAGTGAGGGGCCCTGAGGTGCCAACCAAAGGCTGGAGAGCAGCCCAGCACAAGGGGAGGCAGCACCGTGGCAGGCAGAGTGCCTGGAGTGCTGCTTGGTGCTGGGGGTGGGCATGAGCATGTGCTCATGTGTATGAGTAGGTGAGCGTGTGGGTGTGCATTGCCTGTGTATGCATGTGTATGAGTGTGTAAGGGCATGTGTGTGCATGCATGTCCTGTGTGGGTGCACGTGTCGGTGTGCGTGTGTGACGTGTACATGTGTAACGTGTGTAAGGGTGTGCATGTGTGGGTGTGTGTACACACGTGTGCATGTGTGTGTGAGGGCGTTCATCTGTTGTCATGCAGGTGCTGTGTGGGTGCATGTGTGGGCATCTGTACGTGTGTGTGCCCGTGCATGTGTATGTGAGGGCGTGTGTGTGCACACTCATGCACGTGTGTGTAGGCTTATGTGAATGTGGGGGAGTGTGCACGTGTGTATGAATGGAACCCGTGTGTGTTCCTATGAAGGGCAGATGGGACCAGGGCTGGTCCCCAGTTCTCAGTGAGAGGGCCTGGGGCGAGCTCCCTTCTGTCCAAAGCCTGAAGTGTGGGCGTGTACAGCTGTCCCAGCCTCACAGGGATGGAGACGTGGGGATTTCCGTGTTGTCAGATCGTCCGCTGGGCTGCAGGCTCCACGGCGGGTGGGTGCTGAGTCTTAGCTCAGCATTGTGTCCGCAGCACTAGCCACATAGCAGGGGCTCGATGTGTGGTTCTGAGCAAGTGAATGATCACAGAGCCTGCCGGGGTAGAGGCCAAGGAGCCCGTCTGTCTCGCTCTCCGGGGCTGTCCTGGTGGCTGTGGGCCTCGCAGAGGCAACCACTGCAAAGGATGCAGGAGGAGCAGAGGGGCAGGCGGGCACATGGTGGGGCAGATGCCGTGGGGCGGACATGTCCCTGCAAGTGACGTCTGCAGCCGGCTCGTCTGTGTGTGGGGCGTCCCGGCTGCTGCACCGAGCCCCGTGGGGACGGCACCTGGTGCCTGCAGAGGGGTCAGCCTGCAGCTGCAGTCACAGGGAGGGGCCCTTACGCGGATGCCGCAGGTGGTCCCGGCATTGGCCTTGCCGGCCCCAGGTAGAGGACGTTCACGTTGCTTCCAGTTTCCTGGCTTATTTTTATAGTCAGAAGAAAAATGAACTTTTTTCATTTGAAGAACAATCCTGAAATGAGCTTTCGAGAGACTCTATGGGGTCCCCTGCCCCAGGCATCTCAGAAGCACAGAAGGACGAGGAGGCTGAATGGGTGCTGCCCCTGAGGGGCACCTGGGACCCCTGAGCCTGCCCGGCCCTCCACCCCAGGACCGTCCTGTGTCTGCCCCGGGCTCCCGGCCCGCCAGCACCATCACGGGGGTCGCACGGCGGCTGTCCCCTGAGCCTTCTCTCATTGCGCAGAATGGCACCGTCACAGGGTCGCACGGCGGCTGTCCCCTGAGCCTTCTCTCACAGAGCAGAACGGCACCCTCACGGGGGTCTCACAGCGGCTGTCCCCTGAGCATTCTCTCACGGAGCAGAACGGCACCGTCACGGGGTCGCACGGCGGCTGTCCCCTGAGCCTTCTCTCACGGAGCAGAACGGCACTGTCACGGGGTCGCATGGCGGCTGTCCCCTGAGCCTTCTCTCACGGAGCAGAATGGCACCGTCACGGGGGTCGCACGGCGGCTGTCCCCTGAGCCTTCTCTCACGGAGCAGAACGGCACTGTCACGGGGTCACATGGCGGCTGTCCCCTGAGCCTTCTCTCACTGAGCAGAACGGCACCCTCACGGGGTCGCACGGCGGCTGTCCCCTGAGCCTTCTCTCATTGCGCAGAATGGCACCGTCACGGGGGTCGCATGGCGGCTGTCCCCTGAGCCTTCTCTCACTGAGCAGAATGGCACCGTCACGGGGTCGCACGGCGGCTGTCCCCTGAGCCTTCTCTCATTGCGCAGAATGGCACCGTCACGGGGGTCGCATGGCGGCTGTCCCCTGAGCCTTCTCTCACTGAGCAGAATGGCACCGTCACGGGGTCGCATGGCGGCTGTCCCCTGAGCCTTCTCTCACTGAGCAGAATGGCACCGTCACGGGGTCGCACGGCGGCTGTCCCCTGAGCCTTCTCTCATTGCGCAGAATGGCACCGTCACGGGGGTCGCATGGCGGCTGTCCCCTGAGCCTTCTCTCACTGAGCAGAACGGCACCGTCACGGGGTCGCACGGCGGCTGTCCCCTGAGCCTTCTCTCACTGAGCAGAATGGCACCGTCACGGGGTCGCACGGCGGCTGTCCCCTGAGCCTTCTCTCACTGAGCAGAATGGCACCGTCACGGGGTCGCACGGCGGCTGTCCCCTGAGCCTTCTCTCATTGCGCAGAATGGCACCGTCACGGGGGTCGCATGGCGGCTGTCCCCTGAGCCTTCTCTCATTGCGCAGAATGGCACCGTCACGGGGGTCGCATGGCGGCTGTCCCCTGAGCCTTCTCTCACTGAGCAGAACGGCACCGTCACGGGGTCGCACGGCGGCTGTCCCCTGAGCCTTCTCTCATTGCGCAGAATGGCACCGTCACGGGGGTCGCATGGCGGCTGTCCCCTGAGTCTTCTCTCACTGAGCAGAATGGCACCGTCACGGGGTCGCACGGCGGCTGTCCCCTGAGCCTTCTCTCATTGCGCAGAATGGCACCGTCACGGGGGTCGCATGGCGGCTGTCCCCTGAGCCTTCTCTCACTGAGCAGAACGGCACCGTCACGGGGTCGCACGGCGGCTGTCCCCTGAGCCTTCTCTCACTGAGCAGAATGGCACCGTCACGGGGTCGCACGGCGGCTGTCCCCTGAGCCTTCTCTCACTGAGCAGAATGGCACCGTCACGGGGTCGCACGGCGGCTGTCCCCTGAGCCTTCTCTCATTGCGCAGAATGGCACCGTCACGGGGGTCGCATGGCGGCTGTCCCCTGAGCCTTCTCTCATTGCGCAGAATGGCACCGTCACGGGGGTCGCATGGCGGCTGTCCCCTGAGCCTTCTCTCACTGAGCAGAACGGCACCGTCACGGGGTCGCACGGCGGCTGTCCCCTGAGCCTTCTCTCATTGCGCAGAATGGCACCGTCACGGGGGTCGCATGGCGGCTGTCCCCTGAGTCTTCTCTCACTGAGCAGAATGGCACCGTCACGGGGTCGCACGGCGGCTGTCCCCTGAGCCTTCTCTCATTGCGCAGAATGGCACCGTCACGGGGGTCGCATGGCGGCTGTCCCCTGAGTCTTCTCTCACTGAGCAGAATGGCACCGTCACGGGGTCGCACGGCGGCTGTCCCCTGAGCCTTCTCTCATTGCGCAGAATGGCACCCTCATGGGGTCGCACGGCGGCTGTCCCCTGAGCCTTCTCTCATTGCGCAGAACAACCTGGGTTTCACTGAGTTCCATGAGACCGGATGGGAGAAGAAGCAGGGGTGATCTTGGGGGTCAGACACCAGGGCTCACCTGACCTGCTAGGGTGTGTGGCCTGGAGTGCGATGGAGGCCTTTGGAGAAGGAGCTGCACCTCCCAAACCCACTGGGTTCAGCCTGGGCCCACTGCAGGCCGCCCTCTTGGTGTCCACGCACCCCATGTCCCACCACAGAGGACGGATTCCCTTCCTCTGCCTCGTGACCGGCTAAGCTGTCTGAGTCCCTGGAGAAGACCGGCTAGGAGGGGCCCTGGAGGGTCACAGTGCAGGGGGTGGAAGGTTTGAAAACAGATCAACGTTAACAGCGTGTCTCCTGCATGGGCTGACTCAGAGGGGCGTGCCACAAGGCCTAGTCACCCTCACAAGAGTCCCAGCGCTTACCAGCCAAGGACGAGGGCCCAAGGCTCAGGGAGGAGGGAGTCGCTGTCCCGCAGCCACACGGCCGCCCGGCTGGGCCTCTCAGGTGGCCCCGTGTGCCCCCCGGTCGTGGCCCCGATACCAGGTGGTGTTAAGAGACTCCACCCTCTCGCAGGTCTGTGGGGACGGGCACAGGCGGCCGCTCCACCCCACTGCCCACGACAGGCCCGAATCCGCCCGGGCTGGAGCCTCTGGCCTCTGAGGTCACTTTGGCTTGTCCAGACACCCTGATGATTTACTGGTGGCCAAAGTTACATCAACTGAGGCTGGCCACAGAAGGTAGCTGTCTTCTCCTGCCCTCACCTGGCAGCTAGACATTTCTTTGCTTAATAAGTAAAAGGAAATTATTAACAATTATGTAACCATTGCAGAGAATCTGACAGGGAAATGAATAAATGGTAAAAACAGCAAAACCCTCAGAGAGTGCGGTTCTGGGCCCTGCACCCACTTTACCGATGGGGAAGCTGAGGCCCGTCCCTGCAGCCGTCCAAGCCCACACTGGCACCCTCCCCTCGGCTGTTCCGATTAGGCCTTCTCAGCCTCCCCAGGCCGTCCGACCCTGGCCGACTGAGGATGTGTGTTTCCGTGGGGTCTCCTGGAAAAGATTACCCCATTTGTTGAAAATCAAGGAAAGTCATTTTTTTTTTCCAAAAGCATTCCCCAGAACGGCAATATCGAGGGTCTTTTTGTATTTTCTCCAGTTATGACGGTCGCCGGGGTGCCGCTAGTGTGTGGGCCATCGTTCTAATTGTCACGAAAGGGAGGGAAGATTAAAAGGACGGGAAAGAAAATATGGCCTTCATTTTCCTCGTACTGGGGACGAAAATGGAAGCCAGGGGATTTCATTCAAAAGCAGTTTGCTCAGGTCTGGTTGTTTTTAATGCCAAAAAAGGAAACTGCAGATTTAAGATCTCCTTAGACAAGCAGAGAACGGGCTCAAACACTAGCCCCTAACTATGCATTTAGTTTATTTTTCTTACTGATGTTTTTTTTAAACATCTAGGGCTCCACGGAGGAAAAACAAGATTGTAACAGTAACCTTGGTGCTCAATATTTAATCCTGGTTTAGTAGTTAGTAGCAGCTTACCCTTTTATTACTTTGAAATGAAAGGAAGCATCACAAGGGTTTCATAGGAAAGATGTCTGCACCTGTGTTTTCAGGCTACCGGGGAGCCCGCGTTCATTTCCAGTCTAGTCGTACTTCCCTGAGTCCTGTCCATGAATACTGGATGAGCCGACAGTAGCGTGTTTAAAACTACAGTGGGTCTGAGACTTTCAAGCAATTCTTTTTCCCCGTTTGCTTTTGAAATAAAGTCTAAACCATCGCAATTGTTTTCAAGTGGAAATGACTTCAGACTTTTACAGTTGCAAATCACTGAATCATTTTAAAATGGATTTTCATTAAATTGACCGTAAGAGGTTGAAGAGCCTCTTCTGAGATGATTTTCCAGCCAAAGAAATGATTCTCTCCTTCTTCTGTGTCTCACGTTGAAGAGCTGGCGCAGAGGTTTCCTGCAGACCCGGGAGGGGTACCTGGGGCCGGTTAGGAGGGTCCTAGGGTTCACCTGAATGGTTCTGAAGCCCTTTAGCCGCACCACAGCGACCCGTCAGAGCTGATGGGGGACGGCGGGCTCAGTCAGGCGCACAGGCCTGTGCCTGCGTAACGAAACACCAGGGGGGAAAGCCATCCGCCTGGCATGGTTGTGATGAGGCCCGTGGCCAATCAGAGAAATTCTGAGAAAATAAAAGATAGGTCAGTAGGCGACCCCTGCCCTGGGCAGGGTCTTGGCTCAGTGCTGCCTGTCCCCATGGGTTCCGAAGAAGGCAGGTTCATTGGAAAAGCTTGGAAATCTCTAGTCCTTAGATCACAGGGGCTCTTGTCAGTGTGGCTGTCTCAGACTGTGAGGACTCAGGCCCCTCTGCTGGGTTGAGGAGACCCCCAAGACTGGCCACCCAGGGGGCTGGTGTCACGGCTCAGTGTGGGGTCAACAAGCCAGGTCCGTGTCCCTGTCCCTCCCCTGTGAGAGGCTGACACTGCCATGGGGGCTGTGGAGGGTGGAAGGGGAGACGCCCGCTGCCTACACCCCCAGCTCTCCTCTGAGGGCAGCGTTTCCACAGAGCCGGTGTGAGCCAGGGGAATGACCTGTCCCAACAAGAAGCTCAGGTTTGGACAACTGGTGCCTGGAGCTGAGGTCCTTAGCATCTCAGCACAGCTGCCAGCCTCCACGGCACCTGTGGGTCCATCCCACATCCTCCACCAAGAGTGACCTGACTGAACAGACGCCACGACTCTCACGGCTCCTGCTGACGGCATGAGTGGGGTCCCGGGCAGCCTCCTCAACGTGTTTGTAGTCCTGACCTGTAACAACTGCATGCTGGCTGGAGGGTCCCACGCTGGGGATTCCTCCTCCTCAAACTCAGCACTGGGAGCCCCTTCCAAGACCGCCCACCAGGCATCTTGTTCATGGATGGGGATCACAGCCAGGGTGAGTAGCGACACCAGGACCCGTAGTCGGGCCACACCCTGCCCCACCCACGCACCCCACCCCCCCACCACCAAGATGCCTCCCTGTCAGCCCCACGGGGGCCACTCTAGGACCAGAAGCAGGGAAATGTCCCACCCAGGAGGGGCCCTTCACGTCCAGATGAGGTCTCGTCATAACCTTCAGCACCTCCGGGTTTGTGTGAAATAGGCGGATTGTCTGGGCTCCGATGTGTGGGAAGTGAGTTTCCTTCCACGTGCAATGAGGCAGCCCCCTTTTCTGTGAGGAATGCATTTTCTGGGAACTTTGCTGCAATGTGTTCTGGCTGGTGTATAAATAATTCCGCACATCGCCGCCCTCCGGTCCTTCCTGGGCCCTGTGCCATTCTCATTCCCAGTTCTCCTGACTCACACATGGCCGCTGAAAAAGACCTCCTGTGTTGAGCGGGAAGGCCTTGGCTGCAGCTGGTCCAGGTCCTGGCCGAGCCCAATGGGGCCCCTCCTGCCTGCAGCCCTGTGGCTGGAGAGCTCGCCGTCCTCACGCAAACAGTCCAGACCACAGCGGTGGCACATCGTGAGAATGACAGATGGGGGATGAGCAAGGTGCCAGGGGTTTTAAATAAGACGGCCGCGTTTTGCCAAACACCTACCCCACGGGGCTGGAACAAGTGACGCAGAAATGGGCAGGAAGCGTGGACCGCGAACTCGGGGACCAAAAGGTCGTGCCGGAGTCACTGCCAGGGAGAGCCCCGCACCTTCCAGAGCTCTGCCGGCTGAAAGCCTGGTATTAAACAGCTTAATATATCTCGCTAATGACAGGTGGTGGTTTTCTGCTGTGTGAGTGATGAGAAGATTACCCAAGATAGAAAGGCTAATTTTTGCCTCCGTGCCTTCATTTAGTGAGTCAGGGATCTAGTGTGTTTGGAGGAATAAGAAAGTGTCTGTCTTATCTAGTTTTGGGCCTCCCTGAGTTTGGCCCTGGAGAAGGGAATCCAAGAGAAATGGGATAGAAAGATGGGGTAGGGGGATGGGGAAGGACCAGCTTCCGCTTCCGCGACCCTCTGGAAGGTGCCCCGAGTATCTCGGGCCCCGGCCGTGGAACCTGTAAATGTCACCTTCTTTGGAAAAGCGGTCTTTGGAGGTGTGGTTAAATTAAAGACTTCGAGATGAGGACTTTCCCTGGGCCCAAAATGCAATCCCCTGTCCTCATAAGAGGGAGGTGGAGGGAGATTAAACGCAGAGGAGGAGGCCAAGGGAAGGGGATGCAGGGCTGCAGTAACAAGCCCAGGAGCTCCTGGAGCCCCCAGAGCTGGGAGAGGCAAGAAGGATCCTCCCTAGAGTCTCCACGGGGAGCTCAGCCCTGCCCACAGCTCAGCCTTGCATTTCTTGTCCCCAGGACGGGGTGGGGGGGGGGGGGAACAGATCCCCGTGGCTTAAAGTGCCCCTGTCTGTGGTTATTTATTACAGCAGAGCCTCGTGGCTGGACCTCTGTGTCCCGGCGTTCGGAACACCAGGAGCCCTTCACGAGGCTCCTGTGGGGCCGTGGGTGGATGGAGGGTGGCCGGGCCGTCTGGTCCACATGCCTCACCCTGGCCGGCCACCTCAGACAGGTCCTTGGTGTCTCCCCGATTCAGTGTTCCCATCTGTAAAATCGGTGGAAAAACGCCTGCCCCATAGAGCCTGGTATTAGATGAGTCGCGATACAGAAAGCTCTGAGGATAGAGCCTGGCACATGGAAAGTCCTGTGTGTTTACTGCCCTCAGTAATATACTGAATAATACCTATTGGTAAATGAAGGGAAAATTCCTGTGTGTTTACTGCTCTCAATAATATACTGAATAATACCTATCGGTTAATGAAGGGAAGAGTCCTGTGTGTTTACTGCTCTCAATAATATACTGAATAATACCTACCAGTAAATGAAGGGAAAAGCGCCACATCAACCTGGCTTCAGTGTGGACCCGCTGCTGGACCCCGGTGGGTCCTATAGTCCCAGCTACTCGGGAGGCTGAGGTGGGAGTTTCGCCTGAGCCCAGGAGGCTGAGGATGCAGTGAGCTATGAAAGAAAAGACGGCCTGGGAGATGATGCTGGAAGACACAGGCCAGGGTGGTCCAGGCCAGGGCAGCGAGTACAGAGGCAGGAGCAGCAGCCCCAGCAGGACCCTCCCATCCAAGCATCAGGAAGGCTGGCGTGGCCGACCCCAACCATCATGCAGACGGGAGACAGGAGTGGGTGCGCTGGGGGGTCTGTTCCGGGGCAGCGAGGACCCCTGGAGGGCAGAGCAGGAGCAGCAGCAGCATGTTCGGGGAGCCCGGGGTGGCCGGGGCGGGAGACGTCGACTGACACTTTGGTGGTGGTGAATGACACGCATCAGTGGGGCCCCATGGGAGGAGGGTCCCGGCGTGGAGGACTCTGTGGGAGGAGGGTCCCGGCGTCGAGGGCCGCGTGGGAGGAGGGTCCTGGCGTGGAGGGCCCCGTGGGAGGAGGGTCCCGGCGTGGAGGACTCTGTGGGAGGAGGGTCCCGGCGTCGAGGGCCCCGTGGGAGGAGGGTCCTGGCGTGGAGGGCTCCGTGGGAGGAGGGTTCTGGCTGAGGTCATCCAGCAGCTGCACTGTGTGGCCTGGCCTGGGGATGGTGTTCTTGGTAAGCCCAAGTGTGGTCAGGAGGCTGCCTGCCTGTTTCCAGGAGGGTGAGCAGGAGGCCTTAGGCACAGAGGAGCATCTGTGAGGGGCGCGTGCGTCTGGCTGAGTGGGCACCTGGCGGTGTGTGCAGGCTTCCCAGCTCTTACGGCCTCTCAGGCACCGGGTCTTTTTCTGCCTGTCTGGCAGGGTTTGGGAGGTGGTGGTTTTCCATAATGCATGAATGGTTGGTGTTTGACCCACCCCTCTTTGGGCCTCAGTTTCCCATCTGTGCCCAGGGGCCTGGGGCGGTCCTCTGTGCTGAGCAGGACACCCAAGGACTCCATCCTCCGGCCCCAGCACCCGCCCCTGCCCAGGGTTCCGCCTGATGGTTTGCTGTTGGTCTCTGCCGCCGACCCGGCATCCGTTCCGTCGGCCTCGTCGGGCTGTCCCTGCTTTGTGGGACACGCTGAGCCGGGGAAGGCATCTGCCTCCCTCATCAGACTGGACGCCCCTTTCCCTGCTCGGCCGCCGGCCCAGCTGGGTAGCAGCGGGAGCAAGGAAGGACAGTGGCTCTTTGCTGACGCCCTGAGCTGCCTCCTCTGCAATGCTTCTTGGAAAAACCTCGGGGGACACCCCACTCCCCATCCACCTGGAGAGGGTGGGAGTCGGTGGCCCTGGGTGAGCAGACCTTGTGGCTACCTGTCTGTTCTCCCATGTGTCCAGTGGAGAGAACGCGGCCCAGCCCCCCACCTCTCAGACCCCGTCCAGGGACATCCCGTGGCTCCACAGAGCCGTCTCCTCCCTGGACAGAGCAACCCTCACACCTGCACGCGTGGCCCTGGGTCACTGCCTGCACTGGCCATCTCCGTGACTGTAGAGCAGGGGGTCCCGAAGGTTTTGCGAATCAATTCACTCAAACAGCTTAGCACAGCGCTTAGCTCAGAGTGAGAGCCACATCCCTGTTGGCTTCTAGTCCCTCATAGGCATTGGTAATAAGCTGCCAGTTTCCTCTATTTTTAACCAAAGCAAACGTTTTCTATTTTCCCACAAACTGAAGAGCGTTGAAATGTTTGTTAGCAGCAACAGTGGGAACCGTTCTATGAGAAGGTGCCACGTGGTCCTAACAGCAGTTGGAGGGGCCAGCTCCGGGAATGCCTAGCGCCGCGGCTGACCGGCCCCTCAGCCGTGCCGGGATCGTGTGCGTTGCAGGACGGGGCACCCGGCGTGGTGTCCCTCCCGCTGAAGCCACAGTTGTTAAGGAGCCCTGGATTTCGGAGAAACAACGAATCCTCTTGGAGCCAGGACCTCTCCAGGGATGGGTCCTCTGCAGACCTCTGGGCCTGCAGCCCCAGCCTTCCTGAGAGGGGCCCAGATCCGGGAGGAAACACGGACGTTCGGAACAGCAGGAGCTGGTGTGTGGTTTTTGGAGGGCCCTGAAGAAAAGATCACAGGCCTGAGTCAGACTCCTGGTTCCCGTCCAAGCTGTGCCATGTTCTGGCCGTGCGATTCTGCAGACGCCTCTGTCTCCTTCCAGACCTCGGTTTCCTTGTCTTTAAAATGGGGGCAGCCGCGAGAGCCATGGGGGCTCCCGTGAGGACGCGTCGCCTGGCCCGGGGATGCACGTGTGGTGTTTGTCACCCTCTCTCTGGCTCCTTTGTGAACAGCAGTGCCTTCTCTCGATCATTCTGTGTGGTTTTCTAAGTGTCATGAGCCTTAGCATTGATGGCCTGACCGGATTTGGAGGAAACAGGTCGTAATTTCACAGCCTTTCCAGCTGGGACTAAATCACCGTGTCCATCTGCCCTGCCTTCGTGTGGCTGGGTATCCTGTATTCCCCTCCTTGGCTGCTGGAACAAATCACGGCAAACGCAGTGTCTTCAGACAACACAAGCGTCCTCTTCCCAGCCCAGAGTGCAGGGGTCTAAAAGGACGTGCAGGCTGAGCTCCCCCGGGAGGCTCAGGGAGGAGCCGTGTCCTGGCCCTTCCGGCTCCTGGAGGCGCCTGCGTTGGCGGCTGGGGTCCCTCCTCCATCCTGAGAGCCGGCCGCGCAGCGTCTTCTGAAGTCAGGTCTCCCTCGGCCCCTCTTGCAGGGACGCTGTGGTCTCTCCTTCCCCAGAGCCTCAGTCACATCTGCACTGTGCCTCCCGCCACGCGAGGCAGCAGTCACAGGTCCTGGGGTTCAGATGCGGACAACTTTGGGGGACCGTTATTCTGCCAGCCACGAAAGGCCTGGGAGAGGTCAGCTCAGTCGTCATTCCTACTTTAGTATGAATAACCACAATTAGTACACCTCCTGTGTTGTTTTTCAGAGCTGAGGGAAATCCTTCTAAGGGAAGGGGTTTGGGTGTGGCCAGCTCTGGGGGGAGGGAGAGAAGGATGCACGGTGTTGGGGGCTGCAGGCAGCTCCTGGGAACTGGTCCTGGGCAGACCCCAGAAGATGTGGGCATCACGGCTGCTCAGTGCCCCCCTGGGGGCTGCCTTCCTGCCCCTGCCTTTCTGGTGCCCTTTGAGGCCCAGGGAGGCCGTCCCGGCAAGTGGAGGCGTGACGCCTGTGGGGCCTTCCTTCGTGAGGAGGAGAGCACGAGAGCCTTCCCGGGCTCGGCCGCCAGGATTTCACCCGGTTCTGCCGAGTCCCCCTCCTCGTGCCCTCAGTGGGACGCTGACCTCAGAGCTGCGTCCTGGGCCTCTTTCCTCAGCTGGGCTTTTACAAGGGCGACAAGCCCAGTCGGGAGTTGTGAAGTCAGCCTTTAAAAGTCTTCCTTGCTGCCCACGACTGAGGCTGGGCGTGGCCGGGTGCAGCTTGATCTCGCCTCACAGGCAGTGGTGGGGGGTCCCAGGCCCCGACCACTCCCTGTATCGGGGGTGGCTGGCCGAGGGCAGGGCCGGCGTGCCAGGACCGGGACTCCTCTGAGCCCTGGTCTTCTGGGGCCGCAGGCTGTGGGTGTCTCTCGTGTCTGACACAGGAGGCTTTGCCGAGAAGGTGCTTGGGGAGGAGTAGCTGCTGCATGGGGTCTGTGGTCCCCGGCACCATCGGGGCATCCCCGGGCCCTGTGTCTGCCCTCAGCATGTGGCTCCTTCCTGCACAGTTCAGTGAGTGACTTAGGAAGAACAGAAAGGCGGGTGTTGAAAATCTGCCCTGTCCTTCCCGCTCTGAGGCTGTCCTTCTGGCAGAGTCACGTGGAAGGTTTGGGACGGACAGCCCCAGCCCAGGCCCTCCCTCTGTGGGCCAGCGAGCTCCCATCCCTGCCGTTTCTCCGAGATGAGTCCCGAGAAGCCCACGGCACTGCATGTCTCATGGGGACCTCAGCACCCCCTTTCCAGGAGCCCTCAGGCCAGCACCCCTCTCAGCTGCGTTGCAACCCTGCAGCTAGGCAGACAGGGTGGGGCTAGGCAGGGAATGGGCCACAGTCATGCCAGGAATGGGCCCCGGGCCACTTGCTTCTCGGAAGTTCCCTGTGTGTTGAAAATGAGAGAAATGTCACATCACGTTAGCCCAGGCTGCGGCATTTTCAAACTGTTTACACTGAGCCCAGGCTGCGGCATTTTCAAACTGTTTACACTGAGCCCAGGCTGCGGCATTTTCAAACTGTTTACACTGAGCCCAGGCTGTGGCATTTTCAAACTGTTTACACTGAGCCCAGGCTGTGGCATTTTCAAACTGTTTACACTGAGCATGCTGGTGTCTTCTGCCTCCACGGTCTGGGGTATCCGGCGCCTTCTGAAATGCCGGACGCACGTGGACTGCCGATCTGTGAGCTCAACCCTGCAGCCCAGTGGAGCCCGTGACATGAGTGTGGGTTGCAGTAACCAGACCTACGTCCACGTGAGGGGCTGCAGGTGTGAGTCTCAGGACAAATGCACCTCCCCCAACCCCCGGGCAGGTGAAGTTCTATTCCACCCTGCACATAGTCAGCTTGTTTGTTTTAATAATTTCCTTCTTCGAATGTGATGTTTTGTTTATCGTCACATAAAAAGCAAAACCAGACCCCCTCCCTGAGCCCTGCCGAGGAGGTCCTGGGTAGCTGGCGCTTCCCTGAGTGGCAGCGCCGTCTCCTCCCGCTCGGGTGGGGCCCGCGGCCTTGGAGTTGCTGGAGCAGCCGGTCAGCTCAGCTTGCTGCTGGGAGGGACAGTCTGTCTGGCCTAGGCTGCATGGAGGGTCAGTGGTGGACGGGGCTGCCCACCTGTCCCACTCGCTGGTAGTCTCCTGGCAGGCTGACCATGCTGGTGAGGACTGTGACTTCTGGGCCTGGGCCCAGGGCTCCCAGCATGCTTTGGACTGACCATTCCTGTTCCAGGAAACATTTGGGCGACTGCCCTGTCTCCCCCAGCCACGGTACGCTCTGCTGCTCGGCTAACCCCGCTGGATCTGATAACATCTTTCCACATTTCAAACCCTGACTCCTGGAAAAGGAGACCATGCCTGTCACCTGCCCTCCTCACCTGGCATACCTTCTGTCAGGGCGCCCAGGAAGAAGGAGAGGCTGCCAGGTGACCGCTTCGGCCGAGTTCGTCCCCTTCCGTGCAGAGGGTTCAGTACTTTTCCAAAGCCTTTTTCCCGGGGGCTGAATCAGCAGCATCCCCTCCTGATCCCTGTGCAGAAGGGAGGCTGAGCGGCTCCTGGCCGAGGTGAGAGGCCGAGCGGCTCCTGGCCGAGGTGAGAGTCGGCCTGCTGGTCTCCGCCGAGGACGCCCCTCTCCTCTCAACCTTGCAGGTGCAGGGAGAAACATCCCAGTCTTCCCAGGCTGTCCAGCACTGCTGGCTTCTGGCAACCCTTGAGGTGTCCGTTGCAGCCCCTGTGAGCCACCTGGCTCTGAGAAGCCTGCGTGGCTAGGCCAGGGGATTGAAGCCACAGCTGCCTCCTGCTGTCACCAGTAGACCCGATCTTCTCAGGCGTTTACTGGCTGCAAAAATTTCCCCCCTTCCCCTCGCCCTCACCTGGGGACCCCCTGGGATCGTCTTGCTCCCACTTCTTACTCTGCAGAAAGGGAAACTGAGGCCTAGGGCCACCCAGCAAGCACTCTTTCTGCTCCCCTCATGGGCCAAGGGACGTCTCACAGGGCACAGCAGAGAACTTGAGGGTGGAGATGATGATAAGGATGGTTGATGGTCGGGGTTTCATGCGGAGGTGAGGCGGGTGCCCTGGAATCTGGGGTCCCGGTGGCTGTCGGGGTTTCATGCGGAGGTGAGGCGGGTGCCCTGGAATCTGGGGTCCCGGTGGCTGTCGGGGTTATGGTCGGGGTTTCATGCGGAGGTGAGGCGGGTGCCCTGGAATCTGGGGTCCTGGTGGCTGTCGGGCTCATCTGGATGCGTGGCCAGAGGGCAGAAGACTCCAGGAGCATTTCAGAGCCTCTTCCAGGAGTGGGACATGGACAGAAAGCGTGTCATCACCACGTCTCTGAACTTCCTGGACTGTTCTAGGAAAAGGGGCATCCAGAAGCCAGGGACAGCCCGCAGGTGGCCTGTGAGGCAGATTGGCTTGGCCTGGATGTCAAAGCTGTGAGGATCCCAGAACAGGCTGCCTCGGGGCTGGGAATAGAACTGCTTGTTCTGTGAACAGCCAGCGTCATTGGAAAGCCCCAGGTATGAAATGCAGGGATCAGGAACTGTGCTAGAATCAGATTGGCCTCGAGGCAGGGCCTGGTCCCTTTTCAGTGCAGCAGGTCTTGGAGCCACCTGGATTCCACGTGCATGAACTGCTCAGAGGAGTAGGCAGGGGAAGGAGAGAGGGACAAAGGCCGAATCATCGGCAGATAGAAAAGCTCACATTTTAGCATCACACAACGTTGTCACTGTACCTCAGGTGATAATAGTGCAGTATGCGTTCACAGCAACAGTGGTGGAGATAATGGTGATGACGGTGATGACGGTGCTGATGGTGATTGTGATGATAGTGATGGTGATGATGGAGATAATGGTGATGGTGATGATGATAACGATGGTAAAAATGATGACGGTTACGTTGGTGGTGATGACCATGGTAGGAGTGGTGGTGATAGTGGTGATGATGATGGAGGTAATGGTGATGGTGATGATGATGGTAGCAATGATGGTAATGATGGTGGAGGTGATACTGATGGTGATAGTGATGATAGCCATGGGAGAGCTAATGGTGATAATGATGATAATGGTGATGAAGGATGGTAATGATGGTAGATGATGATAATGATGATGATGGTGATGGTGATGATGATGTTGATAAGGATGATAATGATGGTGGAGGTGATGATCATGGTAGAGGTAATAGTGATAGTGATGATGATGGTGGTGGAGGTGATGATGATAAGGATGATAATGATGGTGGAGGTGATGATCATGGTAAAGGTAATAGTGATAGTGATGATGATGGTGATGATGATGATGATAAGGATAATGATGGTGGAGGTGATGATCATGGTAGAGGTAATAGTGATAGTGATGATGATGGTGGTGGAGGTGATGATGATAAGGATGATAATGATGGTGGAGGTGATGATCATGGTAAAGGTAATAGTGATAGTGATGATGATGGTGATGGTGATGATGATAAGGATGATAATGATGGTGGAGGTGATGATCATGGTAGAGGTAATAGTGATAGAGTTGATGATGGTGGTGATTATGTTGTTGATAAGGATGATAATGATGGTGGAGGTGATGATCATGGTAGAGGTAATAGTGATAGTGATGATGATGATGATGATAAGGATGATAATGATGGTGGAGGTGATGATCATGGTAGAGGTAATAGTGATAGTGATGATGATGGTGATGATGATGATGATAAGGATGATAATGATGGTGGAGGTGATGATCATGGTAGAGGTAATAGTGATAGTGATGATGATGGTGATGATGATGATGATAAGGATGATAATGATGGTGGAGGTGATGATCATGGTAGAGGTAATAGTGATAGTGATGATGATGGTGATGGTGATGATGATGTTGATAAGGATGATAATGATGGTGGAGGTGATGATCATGGTAGAGGTAATAGTGATAGTGATGATGATGGTGATGGTGATGATGATGATGATAAGGATGATAATGATGGTGGAGGTGATGATCATGGTAGAGGTAATAGTGATAGTGATGATGATGGTGATGGTGATGATGATGATAAGGATGATAATGATGGTGGAGGTGATGATCATGGTAAAGGTAATAGTGATAGTGATGATGATGGTGATGGTGATGATGATGATGATAAGGATGATAATGATGGTGGAGGTGATGATCATGGTAAAGGTAATAGTGATAGTGATGATGATGGTGGTGGAGGTGATGATGATGATAAGGATGATAATGATGGTGGAGGTGATGATCATGGTAAAGGTAATAGTGATAGTGATGATGATGGTGGTGGAGGTGATGATGATGATGATAAGGATGATAATGATGGTGGAGGTGATGATCATGGTAAAGGTAATAGTGATAGTGATGATGGTGGAGGTGATGATGATGATGATGATAAGGATGATAATGATGGTGGAGGTGATGATCATGGTAGAGGTAATAGTGATAGTGTTGATGATGGTGATGGTGATGAGGATGTTGATAAGGATGATAATGATGGTGGAGGTGATGATCATGGTAGAGGTAATAGTGATAGTGATGATGATGGTGGTGGAGGAGATGATAAGGATGATAATGATGGTGGAGGTGATGATCATGGTAGAGGTAATAGTGATAGTGATGATGATGGTGGTGGAGGTGATGATGATAAGGATGATAATGATGGTGGAGGTGATGATCATGGTAAAGGTAATAGTGATAGGGATGATGATGGTGATGATGATGATAAGGATGATAATGATGGTGGAGGTGATGATCATGGTAAAGGTAATAGTGATAGTGATGATGATGGTGGTGGAGGTGATGATGATGATGATAAGGATGATAATGATGGTGGAGGATCTGATGATCATGGTAGAGGTAATAGTGATAGTGATGATGATGGTGGTGGAGGTGATGATGATAAGGATGATAATGATGGTGGAGGTGATGATCATGGTAGAGGTAATAGTGATAGAGTTGATGATGGTGGTGATTATGTTGTTGATAAGGATGATAATGATGGTGGAGGTGATGATCATGGTAGAGGTAATAGTGATAGTGATGATGATGATGATGATAAGGATGATAATGATGGTGGAGGTGATGATCGTGGTAGAGGTAATAGTGATAGTGATGATGATGATGGTGATGATGATGTTGATAAGGATGATAATGATGGTGGAGGTGATGATCATGGTAGAGGTAATAGTGATAGTGATGATGATGGTGGTGGAGGTGATGATTATGATGTTGATAAAGGATGATAATGATGGTGGAGGTGATGATCATGGTAGAGGTAATAGTGATAATGATGATGATGATGGTGACAGTGATGATGATGATAAGGATGATAATGATGGTGGAGGTGATGACCATGGTGGTGATGATGATGATAGAGGTGATGGTGGAGGTGATGATGATGTGGAGGTGATGGTGGTGATGGTGATGGTGGTAGAGGTGACATTGATAGAAATGGAAGGAATGAGGTGGCAAGAGCTCAAGGCTGCAGATAGATCTAGACTTCTCTGGACAATTCTTTGACTGAGTCCTCATTCATTCATTTGTTTATGAAACACCTGTTCGGAAGCAAGCCCTTGGCCAGGCATGTGATCCAGAAAACTGAACACTCTTGCCCTGGGGCCCTCTCCCCTTGAGTCCAGCAAACAATGCCACCGATTGTGGCCCGGGCCAAGCACTCCTTAGGGAAGAGCCACATTCTGCCTCAGGCTCCAGGAAAGCCCCACAGAGGGGCTGAGACAGACCATGGCAGGGCTGGCAGGGGGCACATGCGAAGGCAGCGGGCGGAGGGCTGCGGGCTTGAGTCTGGCTTCCTGAGCACGTCCTCCCTGAGCAGGGGGTGGGGCTGAGGTAGAGGAGGGGCAGGTGCTGGAGAGCTGACTCATATTCTAGAGGGAACTGGTGAGGTTTCTGCACTGATTGGAGAGCCCCAAGTGGGGCCGGGGCTTACGGGCTGGGGTGAGCTTCAGGGGTGAATTGTCCTAAAGGGGTGGTTTGTTGGAAGCTGCTTTCTTCCTTGCCCCTGGGGCTGCTCCCTCCCTGCTTCCTCCTGCTGGGGTCACCTGGGTCTGGCCCCTTCCCTGGGGCTTTCAGCCCAGCTGTGGCAGGAAGTGGCCCGAGGGCCTCGGGAGCGGAGCCCAGAGTAGAATTCACTGCCTGCTGCCCTCTGCCCGGGAGCAGAACACAGGGTCAGATGGGAGCCGCCAGATGGGATGTGCTTTAATGACCGGATTTGTGCAGGTGACTCAAGTCAGCAAGTCGTTCGTCTTCTGCGTGAGCTTTGAGTCTCTTTGCAGGGAGGAAATCAGACTCCGCCTTTTCAGGGCCACTAAATGCGCTTTCCCAGCCAGCCCCGCTGCAAGGCTGTGCCAGGGAAAGATCGATGGAGCCGGGTCTTAGTCCCCTTCTCACCAAGAGGCCTCCGACAGCACTGTTCTGTGGGGGTTGTGTGTGTGTGTGTGTGTGTGCACTCCTGCGAGTGTGCATATATGTGCATGCACACGTGTGCATCTGTGAGTGTGCGAGTGTATGGATGCACATGTGCATGAATGTGTGTACGCACATGTATCTGTGCACTTATGTGTGTGCACACGTGTTAATGTGCATCCACTGTGAGCGCCCGTGTGTGTGTTTCTGAGTGTGCAGGTGGGTGTGTGTGCATGAGCGAGTGTGTGTGCATGTGCACACGTGTGAATGTGCATCTGTGTGTGTGCCCGTGTGTACGTTTGTGAGCGTGCAGGTGTGTGTGTGTGCATGAGTGGGTATGTGTGTGTGCATGAGTGTTCATGTGTGCATGTGCACACGTGTTAATGTGCATCTGTGTGTGTGCGTGCGTATGCATACTGTAGTGGGTGGTTAGAACTAAACCACTCAGCATCCAGGCCCAGCCCCATGCCAACGCTCAGTGGACATTGCCTGGGCCAGCCCCTCCCTGGGCCTCAGTGTCCCCAGAGGCCCCCTGTGCTCTGGCAGGCCTGGAGAGCTCTGCGGGGACATCCCATTGTACTTCGCCTGCTACCGAGACGTCCACATCACCACACGGTGAGCTCCTGCAGTGTACCAGGCCCTGTGTGTGCCCGTCCCGCAACAGCTCTGGGAGGCAGCTGCTCTTTTTCTCCCTCTGGGGTTTGGAACCTGGGCTGGCGAGGGTCAGTGGCAGCAGCAAGATGAACACCCAGACCTGGAGATGTGCTGTCTGTGGGTCCGGGGACGCGGATCTGACAAATGCCCTTCTGCAGGCCTTGTGTGTACAGGGCAAGGGGCGTCCACAGGACGGAACGATTCCAGAGGGTCTTCCTGGAGGCGGTGGCCAGGACAGTCCTGACTGAGAAAGCAGAAGGAGGAGGGTGGGAAGGGAGGGCAGGCTGGGCTGCAGGCTGGGGAGACAGCACTGTTCGGTGCACTGGGGGCAGGGCCAGTGAGCTGGGGGAGGGGGTGGACTCGGCCCCCTCCATCCTGGCCAGGGAGCGGGATGGACAGTGGGCAGACACCAGAGGCCTCAGAAGGCCCCATTCTCAGAGCTGCACTGCACACCACTAGCCAGGTGTGCCCATTAGATTTAAGATAAAATCAGACTTAAAACTCAGTTTCTGGAGGCTCTGGTCACATTTCGAGTGTCCCACAGCCATGTGTGGCCACTGGCTGCCGAGTTGGACAGCGCAGAAGGTCACGTCCATCACAGAGGAAGCACCGATGGACAGGCCAGGCTGGGGGTGAGGTGACTCCAGGTGCCCACACCAAGGGGCAGGCTCAGAGGGACGTGGAGTGGCTGTGTGTCCAGGGGACCTGGCCAGGGCGAGAACAGCTGCCCCCCAAGACAGTACCTACAAGAAACCTGTGCCACCCGGGATACCTGTGCCACCCGGGATACCTGTGCCACCCGGGAGACCTGTGCCACCAGGAGACCTGTGCTAACCAGGAGACCTGTGCCACCCAGGAGACCTGTGCCACCCGGGAGACCTGTGCCACCCAAGAGACCTGTGCCACCCGGGAGACCTGTGCCACCCAAGAGACCTGTGCCACCCGGGAGACCTGTGCCACCCAAGAGACCTGTGCCACCCGGGAGACCTGTGCCACCCAAGAGACCTGTGCCACCCGGGAGACCTGTGCCACCCAAGAGACCTGTGCCACCCGGGAGACCTGTGCCACCCGGGAGACCTGTGCCACCCAAGAGACCTGTGCCACCCGGGAGACCTGTGCCACCCGGGAGACCTGTGCCACCCAAGAGACCTGTGCCACCCGGGAGACCTGTGCCACCAGGAGACCTGTGCTAACCAGGAGACCTGTGCCACCCGGGAGACCTGTGCCACCCAAGAGACCTGTGCCACCCGGGAGACCTGTGCCACCCAAGAGACCTGTGCCACCCGGGAGACCTGTGCCACCCAAGAGACCTGTGCCACCCGGGAGACCTGTGCCACCCGGGAGACCTGTGCCACCCAAGAGACCTGTGCCACCCGGGAGACCTGTGCCACCCGGGAGACCTGTGCCACCCAAGAGACCTGTGCCACCCGGGAGACCTGTGCCACCCGGGAGACCTGTGCCACCCAAGAGACCTGTGCCACCCGGGAGACCTGTGCCACCCGGGAGACCTGTGCCACCCAAGAGACCTGTGCCACCCGGGAGACCTGTGCCACCCGGGAGACCTGTGCCACCCAGGAGACCTGGGCGCCGCCTCTGCAGTGGATGTCCCAGGAGCTCAGTTTCCTAGCGGCTTTATCAGGCACCCAGTGGTGCAGGCCTTTGCTCCAGGGGCCTACAGTGAATTCTGACTGCCCAACTGATAAGTAGCTGAGGATTTTCTAAAGAAAATAATAATAATAATAATAATAATAATTATTATTATTATTATTTGGAGACAGGGTCTCACTGTGTCATCCAGGCTGGATTGCAGTGGTCACTGCAGCCTTGGCCTCCTGGGCTCAGGTGATCCTCCCATCTCAGCCTCCCGCGTAGCTGGGATCACAGGTGTGTGCCACCACGCCCAGCTGATTTTTTTATTTTTCGTAGACCTGGGGTCTCACTATGTTGCCCAGGCTGGTCTTGAACTCCTGGACTCATGCTGGGCCGTTCTGGGGAGTCACTGTGCAGACGTAAGGCTCGAAGTTTACAGAAAAGAAATCTTGCCTCCATCTGGAGTTCCCTTTTTCCAGCTGAAAGTTACTAAAATCTAGTAGAACTAGTGTTCTGTGGAATGAGTTTTGCTCAAAGCCAATCCTTCCAAGTTGAAAACAACGAAGGCTTTTTAACCTCAAAAATATCCAACACTCCAGAATTTACCACCCCTGGAACTGCGGGCTGACTGCAGCGGACCATTTGGTTTGACCTTTAGTGTTTTAGAAAAATGAAATCCATTTGCCAGCGCTTAAAACCCGGGAGATTCCACAAGGTCTAGATTCTTTCTCTTGAACCTCAGGATCCCGGCCAGTCTGGGCCTCGGCTCTGCAGGGCGACCCTGGCGGGCAGCATGTTCAGTTTGCCGCCATACCTGCCACTGCCCTGCCCTGCACCCCAACCCTCCTTTGCTGCTGGTTTCAGAAGTGCACAGAGATAGCAATGGCCACAGACCCAGTGGGGTTATGAAGCAAATGTGACCTTCAGGCGCCAGCCCACCATCCGCATTTTATTTTTAAGTAGCTCCTGGAATCCTCATCTGGCCTTGCGCCTACCCAGGGCCCTGTCAAGGCGAATATTATGTGGGATCGTGGAAAGTGGTCTGTTCTCAGAGTTTCTAGCAGCAGAGACTAGTTCTTAAAAAGGCCGTGGGTGGTACACATCTTTAACCCCCCATAAGAAACGTTCCGGGAACACGGAGAATTGTGGCCACAGCTTTCTGAGAACAGCGTGGGAGGACGGGAGCCACGGGCTGGTGTGTAATTGACGGCCTGTGACCCAGACGTGGTCCCCCCGAAGGGACGTGGACATGACATACAGGACCTGTGCCCCACCCCGCTGTTCGTGTGGCGATGATGTCGGCCCGTGGCAGGGCCAGGATGCTCCCAGGAGTTGGGCGGACCTCCGCTGCGTATATGGAAGGAAGGACCCGGCCGGGGAAGCCGAGGGCTGGGAAAGTGACCGGGGCGGCGTCTGTAGTCTGCATTGCTGGAGTGTTGGAGCCCAGACGGAACACAGTCTGCCCTGAGTGGGAGGTGTGGGCTGCAGGGCGTGCGAGCTGGGGATTCCCGCCAGCTCTGGTTTCCAGCACCTGGAAAGGTCACCAGAGTTTGAATCTGGTAAATTCTTCCTGGATTGGGGGCTGAGTTCCCTCCCTGGGCCTGGCATGGGAGGACATCCTGGGACGGGCTCTCCTTCCAGTGGAGGCAGGGGCCAGCCTTGGTGGAGGAAGCCTGGGTTGGAGGCTGAGTTCCCTCCCTGGGCCTGGCCTGGGTGGACGCCCTGGGACAGGCTCTCCCTCCAGTGGAGGCAGGGGCCGGCCTTGGTGGGGGAAGCATGGCAGGGGCCGGCCTTGGTGGAGGAAGCATGCTTACACGCTTACACGCTTACGCGCTTACACACTTATGCTCAGACACGACCTTGACAATTCCTCCACGTTTCCACCATGACCACATCGGTCAAACACTTGCGTGGACCGGCACCTCACAGGGCCCTGCGGCTAGGCTCCCCTTCCCCTGGAGTATTGGCCTGAGATACAGGAGCCCTATGGTGTTTACAGAATGGCACTGACCTTTCATAAACAGCCCCACCTGTGGCCTCCTGTCCCTTGGCCAGGGTGGAGGGACAGGGCGGTGCCCACATTGCCCTTCTTGGGCTCTTACTGTGGGAGGCGTCCACGGCAGAGCCAAGGGGTCCTGGAGGCCGTGGGGGAGACTCGGAAACCAGAGGGTGGGCGGTGCCAGGGTGCACACAGCAAACCGGGGCTGAGCCAGGCCTGGGACACCGAGCCCAGCCTCTCCCCTGCGGTGTGACTGTGGGTCCCAGGGTGGACGTGCCGGGGCCCCCAGCCAGTGCAGGAGAGGCCTTTGAGCAGCTTACCTGAGAAGGGCCCATGGGGAGCTGGGACCTCCGGCCTCCGTCGCAAGGGCCTGCGCTGCTCTGAGGGCCCGTCGGCAGCTGGGTCAGGGCCACGGGGAGCTGGGACCCCCGGCCTCCGTCGCACGTGCCTGCGCTGCTCTGAGGGCCCGTCGGCAGCTGGGTGCCCAGGGTCCCGAAGGCTCAGGGTGGCCCTGAGGAGGCTGGAGCTCCACCGCATTTTTCATATGAGGAACCCAGCACGTCCCGCCTGCCTCCGGCCCCTGGAGGCTTTCTCAGTGACAAACCGTTTCTGTTTCTGTCTTGTTTTCTCAGACAAACGAGGGAGCAGGAGACACCCCCTGACTTTTTTTATTTCTCTGACTACGAGAGGCACAATGCGGAGATTGCTGCCTTCCACCTGGACAGGTGAGCCCTTCCTTCCTCCCTCCATCCGCGCTCCCGTGCGCTCAGACCCACCGGTGAGTGAGGCCGTCCTGCACTGGACACAGCAGGACGTCATCGTCACCTTCGTCACCATCAGGCAGCGCCGGTGCCTGCTCTCCCCCCACCCCGAGTGCTGCCCTGAGCAGGGTCCTGTATGTCATCGTCACCTTTGTCACCATCAGGCAGCGCCGGTGCCTGCTCTCCCCCCACCCCGAGTGCTGCCCTGAGCAGGGCCCTCTGTGTCATCGTAGCCCACACAACACGCGGTAGGGAGAGCCTTTCATATCCCCCTTTACAGATGAGAAACTGAGGCTCTGTGAGCGGCGATTTGCCCAGGTTCCCACGCTCCTAATCATCCCTCTGTCACCGAGGGAGAGGGCGCCTGCCCTCAGGGCACCTTAATCCAGATGGGCCCCTCCTGCACCCCCACAGTTCAGGCAGATGGGAGGCACAGAAGCTGCTGTGCGGTCGGTAATAGAGGAAAAGGAAAGAGGGAAGGAGGCAGGGAGGGAAGGGGGAGTATTAAGTGCTGCGAATCTTAACACAGAGACTCACAGAGCACAGGCTTCTCTGGGAGACCAAAGCAGGCTTCCTAAGGAGGGGGAAGCGATGTTTGTGATGAGGGGGCCTGGGAGGCCCCACGGTCGCCTGTCTCCAGAGGGGCCGCCCCAGCCCAGCAGAAAGTGAACCCCTTGTGAGGGTCAGCTTGGCCCTGCTGCTGGGAAAGTGGGGGGTCCGTGTTCAGTGCCCTCCAAGGGCAGTAAACGGGCCTGGCCCAGGTCCAGAGGGGCCCCGTGGATTGAAGGACCTTGCCCTGGTGCAGTGGAGGGAGGAGGCGCCACCCTCAGCCCCCAGAGCCTCCCTGCCTGCCCTGCACGGCCCTGACACGTCCCAGCCTGGGGTGCGGCCCCAGGGCCGGCAGCATTGGGGTTGCCCTGGGCTAGTTGGAATGCAGAGTCCTGGGCTCCACCCAGACCTGGGACAGAATCTGCATTTTAACAAGATCCCTAGTGACGCGGGCGTACATTGGAGTTTAAAGGGCTTTTTTAAAGATCAAAGTCTTCTGTGGTGACTATAGAAATCGCCAGAAGCCAGATTTTCCACCATTTCAGCTATCTAGAACAGCCTGAACCCAAAAAGGGCTTTTTATGAAAAGAAAGACGGGGAGGGTCATTAGGAAACAGCCCCCCTCGGGTCCACCTGTTTATAAAACAGGACACAGAGCCCAGCACCCAGGCGAGCCGTCTGACAGGTGGAGGGGGAGGGTGCTCCACGCAGAGGCGTGGTCGGGCCTTGGGTCCCGGGTCGGCCCTGGCAGACGGCCCACGTCCCTCCACACCTGGTCACCTCGCCTCACAGGACAATCACCACGTCCTCCGTCAGCAAGAAAAGCTCTCGCCCTGCATTCTCCATTTAATTAAGCGAGTGGGAGCCTGTGGTGTGGTTCAGAAGGAGTTCCATTAAAAGTGGCTCCTTTAATTTAATTTTGTTTTAAATTTAGCCCTGGAATGAGGGCAGGCTTTAGCTATGCAGGCAGTTGGTGCTGTGTGCCCATCAGTGAGGCATCGCCAGCCCCAGTCCCTCAGGGGCCTCTCCCACCCCCATCACCGTGGGGCCAGGCAGAGCCACCGGACCTAGGGCTGGGTTTATTCGGAGGCAGGGACACAGAGGCCCGCTGAGCCGCACAGAGCACAGACCCTCCCCTGCCCCGTTCTTATTTGGAGGCAGGGACACAGAGGCCCGCTGAGCCGCACAGAGCACAGACCATTCCCCGCCCGTTTCTTGCCAGGATCCTGGACTTCCGCCGGGTCCCTCCCGTGGCCGGCAGGATGGTCAACATGACCAAGGAGATCCGGGACGTCACACGGGACAAGAAGCTCTGGAGGACCTTCTTCATCTCTCCAGGTAGCCTGGCACGGGGGCCCGCATTCATCTCTCCAGGTAGCCTGGCACGGGGGCCCGCATTCATCTCTCCAGGTAGCCTGGCACGGGGAGCCCACATTCATCTCGCCAGGTAGCCTGGCACGGGGGCCCACATTCACCTCTCCAGGTAGCCTGGCACGGGGGGCCGCATTCATCTCTTCAGGTAGCCTGGCACGGGGAGCCCACATTCATCTCGCCAGGTAGCCTGGCACGGGGGCCCACATTCACCTCTCCAGGTAGCCTGGCACGGGGGCCCGCATTCATCTCTCCAGGTAGCCTGGCATGGGGAGCCCACATTCACCTCCCCAGGTAGCCTGGCACGGGGAGACCACATTCATCTCGCCAGGTAGCCTGGCACAGGGGCCCGCATTCATCTCTCCACGTAGCCTGGCACGGGGGCCCGCATTCATCTCTCCAGGTAGCCTGGCACGTGCCCTGTGCCCCCTTCCACACCAGGGTGCTGACTCACAGTGCTGTTCCCAACCCACCTCCCACGCAGGGGTGCCCTGTGCCTCCTTCCACACCCGGAGTGCCAGCCCACGGACAGCTTCAAGGTGCCACCATCAGGGTTTAACCAATGTCCTTCTGTGCACAGAGAGACTGTTTCTTCCATTTCTTTGTTTATTTTAACTGGTGAAACGATTCACTTTTGGGAGGTCCTAGCCTCTCCAGGAAGCCTTCTCCAGGTGGCCCAGCCAGCAAACATCCATGGGACCTCCCCACTCGGACTTAAACACACTCAGCAGGACCCCCGTTGTATAGTAACAGGGTGGGCGGCCTCCCCCGCCTCGGCGAAGTGGCTGGACTGTGAGCAGGGCTGGCCCAGGCCCCTGGTCCCTGGTGCCCTTGAGGGGATACAGGATGGCCTGAACGTTAGGCAGGAATAGATGTCTTTGTTGGTGCTGAGGTTTATAAAACCTTCAAGACTCTACGTGATAAGTACAGCGCACACATAAACACATGATTTTCTACTTAATTATCTACCCAGGTTGCTTTAAACCTGACATTTGGGCTGGGCGTGGTGGCTCACGCCTGTAATCTCAGCATTTTGGGAAGCCAAGGTGGGAGGATCACTTGATTTCAGGAGTTTGAGACCAGACTGGGCAACGTGGTGAGACCCCTGTCTACAGGAAATTAAAAAATTAGCCAGCCGTGGTGGCGCTTATCTGTGGTCCCAGCTACTCAGGAGGCTGAGGCAGGAGGATTGCTTGAGCCCAGGAGGTGGCGGCTGCAGTGAGTGGGGGTTGCACCACTGCACTCCAGCCTGGGCAACAGAGTGAGACCCTGTCTCAAAAAAAAAGAAAAGAAAAGAAACTGGCATTTGTGGCTCTGCCGAGGGCTCAGTCCTCCTCTCCAAGCGCCTCTCTGGTACCAGGCCCCTGCTGCACAGCCTGTTCCCATTTCCGATGCTCACCTGGCTGAGCTCTGGGGACACTCTCCTACCTGTCCCGGACTCGGTCCCCTATGTTTCCATCTTGAAGGTCAAGAGTGGTCCCAGCGATGGTGGGCCCTGCAGAATGAAGGGACCCTCACCCCAGGAAACCCTGCAGAGCAAGGTCCCCACTGGGGAGGGGCCCTCCGGATCGGAGGCTCTCACTGTAGGGGGCCTCAGCCACTCTCCTGGCCCATCTGTTTAATTCATGCAGATAAAATCCAATTAGGGCCCCTGATTAGCTGCGTCTTCAGATTTGCTGGCACATAAAACCTTGACCTAAAAGCTCATTTCCTGCAGATGTTTCAGATCGATGTACGGACTCTGCGCTTTCTCTTAATGCATTCATGAATTTGTCAGAACCCGGCCCCCGAATCCATGATTTAATTAAGCTCCGTTCCGTCAGCCAGGGCTCACCGAGATCCTCATTTGCTTTCTTCCTCTCAAAGCCCATTAATAAGAGAAAAATAGGACAGAAAGCTCCACAGAGGCGGGAAGAAGGGCTCCCTTCCCTGGCCCACTGGTGCCTGGCCCTACACACCAGGAATCGGGGCAGAGGCAGAACCTGAGCGTGGGGGTCTTTGAGGGCTCCCCGGTCAGCTGTGCCTGAGCCAGGCACACCTCCAGTGATGGGGAACGCATTGGCTCACAGACAATTCAGTCCCTGTTTGGATGGCTTGAGCTGTCCATCTTTTTTAAGGGGCTGAAACTCGCCTCCCCACCCTGGGAGTCCAGGGCTTCCTAAGCACGCCTGAGCTCCGGCCGCTGTCAGCCCTTGGGTCGACCCTGACCGCACTGTCCAGCCACCGCCTCCTGCCCCACCGTCCACAGGACTGACCGCACTGCAGCCCGCCATGCACACCCTGGTGCCCACGGAGGCTGGGCTCCGCTCCAGTGATGCCTGGATGCCCGACTGCTTCTTATCCACGTCTTTTTACAATTTTTATTGCAACTTTTAGGGTGATGTATTTCAAAGGTTCCAAAGACTGACATTCCCCATCCTCAGGTGCCAGCGCCCCATGCAGTGACTGTGGGAATTCCTCCAGCTTAAACTCCATTCTCTGCATTGCAGACCAAGCTCTCGGTTCAGGACCGATTGAAAGAGACGGTCACAGGGTCACGCAGGGAGGGGTCAATGATGCCCACTGATGCTGAGAACATGCCCTGCCTGGCTCTGCTCAGAGCAGCATCTCCGGAACTCCTCATTTTGTTGTAAAATGAGCCTGTGGGGGCAGGTCGTTTCCTCCCCGTTTCTAAGGTCTTACTGAGTGGCCGGGCACGGCGGCTCACGCCTGCACTGAGTGGCCGGGCACGGCGGCTCACGGCTGCACTGAGTGGCCGGGCACGGCGGCTCACGCCTGCACTGAGTGGCCGGGCACGGTGGCTCACACGCCTGCAATCCCAGTACTGGGAGGACCCCTTGAGCCCAGGAGTTCAAGATCAGCCTGGACAACGTAGCGAGACCCCATCTCTACAAAAAATGAAAAATTAGCCAGGTCTGGTGGCATGCATCTGTGATTCCAGCAACTCAGGAGGCTGAGGCAGGAGGATGGCTTGAGCCCAGCAGGTCTAGGCTGCAGTGAGCTATGATCGGGCACCACTGCACTCCAGCCTGGGTGACAGAGTGAGACCCCGTCTCAAAAAAAAAAAAGACTGAGTTGATTATTAGTCCAAGCAGGTGAATTAAGTCACCTCTATGTCCCATGTTGGCTGACACTTGGAATCCCCAGGTCCTCAGCAGGCCAGGGACGGTGGTCACCGGAGTGCCCCTGAGCTCTGTGCTGCAAGGCGGCCATCGACCACCTTTGGTGCCGTTGCTGGAATCCCTTCTCACGTCTCCCTGGAGCCAGCACTTTATTAAGCGCTCCAGCAGCTTCCCTGGCCACTCCTGGTTCTGGATATTAGTTGCGTTTTCCAGGGCAGCGCAAGTTTCTCCCCTGAAATCCAAGACTTCCTCGGCCACCAGAGGCCCCAACAGTTCCATGTCCCTGCCTGGACAGACGAGTCCTTGAATCTCCCAGAGCAGCCAGGCCCAGCATTGTCAGGCGCCCCTGAACGCAGCCCCTGGAACCCCACTGCTGCCACTCCAGCCGCGCTGCCCTGTCAGTCCGATTTCTTCCAGAAGCCTCTGTGAGCATTTGACTTTCTCTCAAGCAGCAGGGGCCCAGGAGCCCGGATTCCTCTCCTAGAGAACAAAATCTGTTCAGATTCGTTTGCTCCACTTTGCTTTGCATGTGTCTCCCAACCACAGATGCCAGGTGACCTCAGAGGCCCTGCCGGAGCCAAGGGCACATCAGAGGGCTGAGCCCACTGTAGACACCCCCTCGGCCTCCCGACCAAGGATGCCAGGTCATCTCGGAGGCCCTGCCGGAGCCGAGGGCACATCAGAGGGCTGAGCCCACTGTAGACACCCCCTCGGCCTCCCGACCAAGGATGCCAGGTCATCTCGGAGGCCCTGCCAGAGCCGAGGGCACATCAGAGGGCTGAGCCCACTGTAGACACCCCCTCGGCCTTCCGACCAAGGATGCCAGGTCATCTCGGAGGCCCTGCTGGAGCCCAGAGCACATTGGAGGGCTGAGCCCACTGCAGACACCCCCTCGGCCTCCCAACCACGGATGCCAGGTGGTCTCGGAAGCCCTGCTGGAGCCCAGAGCACATTGGAGGGCTGAGCCCACTGCAGACACCCCCTCGGCCTCCCGTGGCCTGAGTGACCCTCCCGTGGGGTCAATCAGAAAAGGGAAAATCCCATCAGCCAGGAACAAGGTGAGGGGGCGAGAGGTGGCCAAGGCCAGTGCTCGGGGAAGGTGGGCTCTGGGAGGGAGAAGCAGGAGGCTGAGCCCCAGGCAGCCCCCTGCCCCACGTAGGGATTGTGGAGCTCAGGTTCAGAGAGGGCAATTAGGACCCCAGCACCGCACAGCTGTGTAGGGGCCGGGCCGCAGTCAGAGCCCACATCTTCTAAGCCCCAAACGCTCACAGAACACACTCCCCTACTTCTCACGTAAGTTACCGTCTGCACGTTGCAAACGTCCCAGAGGTGCACAGGTCATCCGTGCACAGCTTTGCATTTCTGCAAGGTGAGCGCCCCCAGGACCAGGCCCAGGTCCTCAGCAGCTCCGGAAGCCACTCAGCCCGACACAGCCTGGACAGAAGGGCTTTGCCATCATCCGCTTCGCCTTTTTTCCTGCCACGGTGGCCTGGGCTGGGCAGGGCGGTCCTCAGGACTCTCTCCAGTGCTGCGTCCAGCTTAAATGCAGGTTGCAGGAGACACGTTTCCAGCGATGGACCCAGTTCGGGCACCCAGAGCCGCTGCCCTAAGTAACAGTGTCCGCCGGGCCCGCAGCTGTCCAGGGCACAGCTGTCCAAGGTGGCAGATGGCAGACGTCCGCCTTGCAAAACGCTCCTCCTGCTGGGTCAGCCCCGACACAGTCAGCGAAAGGAATGGTGGGAGACGCTTGAGCCGCAGGGTGAAGGAGCCATCTTCGTCCTTGCCAGGAGCCACACTCTTGCCTGTCTGCGCTCTCCGGGAGGCCAACCGTGATGCCATTTCCTGGTGACTGGAGGAGGCAGGATCTCTCCTGGGTTTGTCCGCTACCCTGGCTTTCTCCTTGCTGTTTGTGTCTTTTATTATTACTAAAATGGAAAAGGACTCACGCTCCTTCCTCCCAGAAAGCCCCCACTCCAAGTGCAGGGCAGCCTTCGTTACCTGGACAGCTGCCTCCCGTGGCTTCTTTGTGTAATTCCCAGCCCGTGATGCCGGCGTTGCTGGGACCCCCGCTTCCCGGGCGAGGGGCTGGGCACAGAGCAGGGAGGCACTTGCCTGAGGTCACACAGCTCCAAGCCCTCCTAACCCCGCCCGGGAGGCCCCTTTAATACCCGATTTGGATCTGCAAAGAGAAATGGCTGTGGGCCCGAGAAATGCCTTTCTCTTTTAACACGATACCATCTGAAACCGGCTTAGGCGAGGACGGGAGGCTGTTAACAGCAGACGAATTTTAAGCCTCCAGCCAATGAGCGCTCAGATGAAGATTTTCCTCCTGAAATGGAGCTCCTGCCCCGGTGGGGGCTGCCTCGTCCGACTGTGGGCTGCCGACTAATCTGTATCAGCACGAGACAGGATTGCAGCTGGTCTTTCCTTGATCGTTCGTTCTTACAATAATGACCCAGCGTTGGCAGTGGGGTGAGGGGGCGCGGGAAGGAGGGGGCAGGCAGGTGATCGGGGCGTTGGAACCAGACCAGCCGGGACCTGCCGGGTGCGTGGGGTGTGGTGGGGGCCAGGTCGGCCTGGCACCCACCCCGTTTCCTCTCCGAACCTCAGCTTGTTCAGCTAAGAAAGGGCAGCCGGGACCGGCCACCCTCCTGTTCACTCCGCTGGGAAGCGCCCTGCCGAACCTGCCTTCTGATCCCACGGGGAGCCTGCCCTGCAGCCAGGAGAGACCCCTGGAATCACTCAGCCTGGCTGCATAGGAATGCTGGGACTGGGGGAGCTGTGAGTGAGGTTCGGGGCTCCGGCCCCAACAAAACCACGTTCTCACCAGTTCTACAGCCCCAGGCTTTCCAGAGTTTCTCCACAAACAAATAAAGCAAGAAAAACTAGATTTAATCAGCAAATAAATACAGGAATAGCGCCGTCGGCCGGGCCTCCAGCATCAGAGCAGTGAACCCGCACTGCTAGCGGGCCTGGACAGCGCTTGCATTTTTCTGATTATTCTTTCTTTATTAAGGTATAATTCATGTACCACAAAATTTACCATTTAAAAGCGTACAGTTCCGTGGTTTTTAGTATATCCACAATGGTGTGCAACCATCACCACTGTCTAAATCCAGAATGTCCTGCTGACCCCAAAAAGGAGCCCCGTACCATGAGCAGGCGGTCACCGTTCCTCACCCCGCAGCCCTCGACGAGCAGCGTCCCACCCCCAGTCTATCTGGATTTGCCTGTTCTGGGCGTTTCATATTAAGAGGGTCATACGACGTGTGGCCTCCTCTGTCTGGCCTCCTTCGCGGAGCACAGGGTTCTCGGGTTCAGTGAGGGCTTCATTCCTCTTCTTGTTTCATTTCGTTTCGTGTCATCGCACGGATGGACCATGTTCACCTGGCGTGTCCACTCCTCTCTTGATGGACATTTGGGTGGATTCTCTCTTTTTCGGCTGTGGTGAGCGGTGCTGCTGTGAGCATTCGTGTCTGAGTTTTTGTATAGAAATGTTTTCTCTTCTCTTAGGGGTTTACATGGGAGGGGAGTTCCTGGGTCACGTGGAAACACTGTGTTTAATCAGTTGGGGGCTGCAGACCGTTTCCGCCGTGGCTGTGCCGTGTGCACCCCCCGCCAGCAGCGCACAGAGGTGGCGGTTCCCCCGTCCCAGCCGGCAGCTGCTCTTTTGATGGAAGCCATCCCAGCAGACAGGAGATGGTGCCTCACCGTGGCTTTGATTTGCATCTCCCCGGTGACTCACGATGGCGCCCGTCTCTTCTCATGCTTGTCGGCCATCAGGGTCGTCTTTGGAGAATCAGCTGTTCAAGCCCTCTGCCCATTTATTAGTTTTTTTTGTCTTTTTGTGATTGAGTGATGAGAGTTCTTCATACACTCTAAATGCTAGATCCTCAGATGTGCGGTTTGCAAACGTTTTCTACCATTCTGTGGATTGTATCTTCACTTTCTTGACAATATGAATGCATTTTTTAAAAGACTAAATGTTGGCCCTAGGGTTTCCATAGACCAGCCCCTGATTTTCGAGGGTTCAGGCCGGGCTCTGCCTCTGGGGAGCTGTGTGGCCTCGGGACGTCAGCTCTGTGGGTTCATTTTTCTGTACCGTGGGGTGGAGGTGTTTGCTGGGATTGATGGGGAACTGTGGGTGAGTCCTGCCCATGAGAAGCACCAGGCAGAGCCCGGCCCGGCCTTGGGGGCCGTGAGACCACAGGTGAGGACGCAGCCCTGTGCGGCCCTGGTAACCCGCAGCCTGTCCCTCCCCAGCCAACAACATCTGCTTCTACGGCGAGTGTTCCTACTACTGCTCCACGGAGCACGCCCTGTGCGGGAAGCCAGACCAGATCGAGGGCTCGCTGGCGGCCTTCCTGCCCGACCTGTCCCTGGCCAAGAGGAAGACCTGGCGGAACCCTTGGCGGCGTTCCTACCACAAGCGCAAGAAGGCCGAGTGAGTGCGGGGCCGGGGGGCTGGCGTCCGGCCACCCTACGGCAGAGGGAGCTGGGCCTGGGCGGGCATGGGAGGGTCGGCGCCCACGGGGGTGGCAGAGATGGGTGCAGAGCCTGCTGTGCGATGCTGGCCTGTGTGAGATGACCGCTTCCTGATGAGACGGTGGCAGAGGGCGTCCTTACTCCAGTATTTCCATGTGCTTCCCTGACCCGGGCCGGCCTGCCCACCAGGTCCCTCGAATCGGGGCCTCTCAGCGTTTGAGCTCTGCTCTCGCCCCGTCCCTCTCCTCACTCCTGCGGGAGAAACGGCCCCTGTTCTTTCCGCCCCACGTTGTCCTCGTGAGTGTGTAGTCCAGGTCCTGTTTCCCCACAGAGACTCTGCAAAAAACACGGGGCCCAGAGGTGAAGGCAGCTCCAGGTGGGGTCACCCCGAGGCAGGGCAGAGCGGCTCCGTCCCCTCCCACACCCGTGCTCCCGCTAATGCAGCCTCAGCGCCGCAGCCCGGGCGGGTCCATCTGCAGACGCCAAGGTCCCTGCCGCAGTGTTTCTCTTCTGCTCCTCATGGCACGCGCCGGGCTCCCCAGAATCTGGCCTGGGCCCCCCGTCTCACGCTGGCTCCCCGCAGGTGGGAGGTGGACCCTGACTACTGCGAGGAGGTGAAGCAGACACCGCCCTACGACAGCAGCCACCGCATCCTGGACGTCATGGACATGACGATCTTCGACTTCCTCATGGGTACGTCCCGCAGGGGCACGGGGTCCCCGTGTCACTCGCCTTGCGTGGAGCGGATGCACGCAGGGCTCTGCAGGGCACACTCCGTGGCACGGCCCGGCTGCGGTCCTGTGGCCTGTGAAGGGGCCAGATTGCTTAGAGGTCACGCTGGCAGGAGGAGACGCCGCTCTGCAGAGCACAGAGGCCTCTGAGCTACGTGGCCCGGCTCCCCACGAGCTGTGACACTTTCTGCCTCTCTCCGCAGGAAACATGGACCGTCACCACTACGAGACTTTTGAGAAGTTTGGGAATGAAACGTTCATCATCCACTTAGACAATGGAAGAGGGTGAGCCTGTCCTCGCCCCTGCACACCCAGGGAAGGGCCGGCCACCTCCCAGCTACCTGCAGCCCACCTGAGACCCTGGGGACGGGGGGAGCAGACCCTCCAGTGGAGGGATGGGAATGTCGCAAAGGCCCATCTCAGAGCCAGATGCAGAGGGCGGCCCCAGGCCCCAACCAGGAGGGAGGGCCGCCCCGGGAGTGGGACCTCCGAGGCACAGGAATGCTGCAGACCAAGTCCCGGCAGAGCTGGTGTTACCTGGGAAACGGAGGCCAGGAGAGGCTGCTGGTAGGAAGAGCAGGACCGTGCAGAATAGATGGGCCTCTGCCTGCACGCGGTACCTGGAGCCAGCCAGCGGGGGATAGGCGGCCTCTGCGGCCGCTGCTGGCCTGCCACGGGGGGTCTTGGGCGGCGCTGTGAGACCCTGGTTACCAGGGAGGGTGACCCCTAATAAGCAAAGCATGGAGGCGAGTAACTCGGGCAGGAGGACGTCCATTCCCAGGCTCGGAGGCCTCAGAGAGATGGACTTTGGGCACTTCAATAGCTAAACTGTGGGCTGACGCTCCCTGGAGCCATCTCAACTCGGCTGCCCAGGACCCTTCCCCAGGCCAGAGGCCAGGACCCCACATACAGGGCTGGGGACAGGCGGGGTGGACCCACTGCCTGGGGTGCTGGAGATGGGCAGGGTGGACCCACTGCCCGGGGTGCTGGAGATGGGCTGGGTGGACCCACTGCCCGGGGTGCTGGAGATGGGCAGGGTGGACCCACTGCCTGGGGTGCTGGAGATGGGGCTGGGTGGACCCACTGCCCAGGATGCTGGAGATGGGCTGGGTGGACACACTGCCTGGGGTGCTGGAGATGCCCGGGGTGGACCCACTGCCTGAGGTGCTGGAGATAGGCAGTGTGGACCCACTGCCTGGGGTGCTGGAGATGGGGCTGGGTGGACCCACTGCCCGGGTGCTGGAGATAGGCAGTGTGGACCCACTGCCTGGGGTGCTGGAGATGGGGCTGGGTGGACCCACTGCCCGGGGTGTTGGAGATAGGCGGGGTGGACCCACTGACTGGGGTGCTGGAGATAGGCAGGGTGGACCCACTGCCTGAGGTGCTGGAGATAGGCAGGGTGGACCCACTGACTGGGGTGCTGGAGATGGGTGGGGTGGACCCACTGCCTGAGGTGCTGGAGATAGGCAGGGTGGACCCACTGCCTGGGGTGCTGGAGATGGGTGGGATGGACCCACTGCCCGGGGTGCTGGAGATGGGCAGGGTGGACCCACTGCCTGAGGTGCTGGAGATGGGCAGGGTGGACCCACTGCCCGGGATGCTGGAGATGGGTGGGGTGGACCCACTGCCTGGGGTGCTGGAGATGGGTGGGATGGACCCACTGCCTGGGGTGCTGGAGATGGGTGGGATGGACCCACTGCCCGGGGTGCTGGAGATGGGCTGGGTGGACCCACTGCCTGGGGTGTCGGGTACAGGCAGGTGGACCCATGGCCCAGCTCCCAGCCCAGCAGCCTGTTAGGAACCTTGTACAGGGGCCCTTGACAATTCTGCTTTTCTTCTGGAAGGTTTGGGAAGTATTCGCACGACGAGCTCTCCATCCTGGTGCCGCTACAGCAGTGCTGCAGGTACAGCCCCTGCCGGAGCCGGCTCCAGCTCCACCCTCCTCCCTACTGCGCAGGAGACAGAGGAGGCCACAGCCTTCCCCACCCCACCCCGGCCATCACATGGGAGAGAAAAGGCCCCGAATTCAACCACAGCCCTGAATTCAACCCACACCCTCACTCGGCGGCCTGGAGGCGCAGACCTCACCCGCCCACCACCCCAGGCCCATCCAGCTCGAGCCCCCTCGGGCCTCCACTCTGTGTCCGTCCTGCCACCCCAGTTACAGAGAGAGCTCGAGGCCAGGGCAGACGCCAGCTGAGACACAGGGACCCTGCTCCCGCACGCAGCTGCCGGTCTCTGCCACTGCCACCTTCTGCGGGGGTTCAGACCCCCTTTCCCCCGTTTCATGGCTGGGGACGCAGGCTTGCAGGGCAAACGCTTTGTACTTCTCTAAGGAGGCATCACAGCGCCCGTGTTGTGCGGATGTGCTGAGCTGGGGTCGGTCTCCTGGGTGAGTGGGCCGCCCTCCTCACCTCCCCATCCTCCTGGGTGAGCGGGCCGCCCTCCTCACCTCCCCATCCTCCTGCCGGGCCCCTCTGGGAAATACACCGGCCACCACATCCTGCAAGGGCACCCTCATCCCTTGTGCAGGTGAGAGGCGGCAGACCACGCCGAAGCAGGTCACACAGCCCGGAGGCTGATGAGGTGTTGGATCGCAGGCCCCTCTCTCGCGGTCTCTCTCGTCTCTGCCGTCTCTATCTGTGTCTGTCTCTGTCTCTCTCTCTGTCTCGGTCTGCCTGTTTCTCTTTATCTGTGTCTCTTTCTGTCTGTCTGTCTCTGTCTGTCTGCCTTTCTCTCTCCCTCTCTTTCTCTCTGTGTCTCTCTTTCTCTGTGTATGTCTCTGTCTTTTTCTCTCTGTCTCTGTCCCCCTCTTTCTCTCTCTGTCTCTCCCCCCACTCTCTCGATCTCCCTCTCACTTTCTCTCGCTTTCCCGTGGGCAGGCATCTCCCCTGTCCCGTGCCAGGCCTGATGCCCCTCTCCTCCCCAGGATCCGGAAGTCCACCTACCTGCGTCTGCAGCTCCTGGCCAAGGAGGAGTACAAGCTGAGCCTGCTGATGGCCGAGTCTCTGCGGGGGGACCAGGTGGCACCCGTGCTGTACCAGCCGCACCTGGAGGCCCTGGACCGGCGGCTCCGCGTCGTGCTAAAGGCCGTCCGGGACTGCGTGGAGAGGAACGGGCTCCACAGCGTGGTGGATGACGACCTGGACACTGAGCACAGAGCCGCCTCGGCGAGGTAGTGTCCGCCGGCCGCTGCGCTGCCCGGGACGGAGACAGAGGCGCCGGACCTCCCAGCAAGCGCATGCGCCCGTCGTGAATTCAGTGAATTCAGAGGCAGGACGGGATCATCCGGAGTCGGGAGCTGCTGCCACAGGAGGCGAGGCTCCCCAGGTCTCATAGGACACATTTTGTCAGTGTTTGACCAGAAAAGCTTGGGAAGGAAGCGCTGTCTGTGCTCACGGACAGAGGCGGCCGGCGCCGGAGGCATTCCATCCTTTCTGTAGGGAAAGGAGCCTTTATTTACTATTTTGTATTTATATTTGATGAATAAGTATATAAACAGAGACGTGTACACAGATGCCAATCACCTACCAAACCAAACACGAGGACCGCCCTCCCTGGTTCTGGGGGCCCCTCAAGGCCAAGCTCACCCCTCAAGTGCTCTCACACTCGGGACCTAATTCAAGTAAAAACCCTTTCTCCTTCCTGGGGCCTCGGCTCCTGGAGGGCTGGAGGGTCTCGTCTGAGGACGGGAGGAGGCTCTCGCTGGACGTCTGGCCTGTGCGCTGGTGGACGGATGCCTACGTGGTTTTGGAGGACCCGATGACCAGGCGTCCTGCGAGTCCGCCCGCTGGCCTGCAGCACCCACCTCGGACTTGGCTGTGGACGGTTGGTGCAAGTGCATCCTGCAGGGCTGGCTGTGCGCAGCTGTGGGCTGACCTTTGCAGAGTTTTGTGGAATAGTTTGCAATGTCATAAAAGTGCAATAAAGGTACAGCAGATGTGTGTCGGCCTCACGGGGCGGGTCCCTCACACCCTGGTGTGTGGCTGCCTGTCCACCCCCTCTCCAAAGAAAAACCAGTCCTGGAACCAGGCATGGCCAGGAGTCGGCATTCAAGGTGGCCTGGACCCGAGGCCTGCTGGGGTCGGAGGGGGCTGCCTGCCAAGCCCTGGTGCAAACAGGCCAGGTGGGGCCCCACCTCCAAGGCAGGGCGGTCCGTCCTGGGTTGCTCTCAGAGGCTGGGGCCGCGACCCAAAGCTGCGGCGGCCCCGAGGGCAGCCCCTGTCTGTAGCCCTGGCATGGGCAGCTTCCAGTGTTCCAGCAGGACTGGGCAGCCATGCGTGGGGCAGCTGCCCCGGGGCTGTGGTGAGTGAGGGGCACCGTGAAGGGTGCCAGCCCCTTCCCACTGCTGGCCTCGGGGCTGCAGAGATGGGGCTGGGCTCCCAGGCCAGCATCTCCCCTGCTGGCACCATGTGAGGGGCAGAGGCAGGAGCCAGCATGCTGGCTACCACCTGCCCAGCGTCACACGGCCCAGGAGCCCTAAGAAATCAGCTGTGGGGCCGGTCACTGTGGCCCCCTCTTCTAAGAGCCTCTGCATCCACTCACCTGTCCGTTCCACAAAGTCCCTGACACCCATTTGAGCTGTGCCAGGCTGGGTGCAGCGGGGCCTGAGAGACTCAGCTCTGTCCTCATCACCGCCGCCTTGCAGAGCAGCGGGAGACGCACAGTAAATGCACAGATGGGTCACAAACAGGGCCCTGCACATGGCAAGGAAGTCGGCAAGGGCAGAGGATGCGCCAGGCAGACATTGCGTGTGGGGCAGCCAGGGAGGTGCTGTGGCCCCTTCATCCACTGGCTGGAGCCGGCCCCCCCATGTCTCTCTCTGTTTGGGACTGAACCAAAAGAGGTGATTAAGTGGCGGGAGGGTTCGGGTGGTCCCGGTCCAATCTGACAAGAGCCCTTATGAGGAGAGGAGACACAGGGACGGCCCCGTGAGGACACGGAGAGGATGACATCCACGAGCCACAGAGAGGCCTGGAGGAACCAGCCCTGCCGTGCAGTGACCTCGGACTCCAGCCTCTGGGACTGTCTGTGGTTGAAGCCACCCCATCTGTCCATGGTGCTGTCACGGCATCCTGAGCGGACTCATGCAGGCAGCCTCCAGGAGGGGCTTCAAGGGGCCCCATGAAGGACGGGAGGCAGTGATGCCAGGAGCAGGGCCGGAGGCGCAGGTGGAGAAATGCAGCGGCCGTGCCCACCCTGCCGCGTGGGGCTGGCCCAACAGTGCCAATGTCAAGACCCACAGCCATGATAGAATTAAGTTAGTGTTTAAACAGACATGCCCCGGAGTCTGGACTGATAGAGGGGAGTGCTCTGTGCAGAAGCAGCTGTCGCCATCATCCGGCCACCACCGCCAGGGTAGCAACCACAGGGGAGGAAAAGTGTGCAGATTCCAGGGCCTGGGAGAGACCAGCAGGACCTGCTGCAGGGCTGGAAGTGTGGAGAAGAGAAGGAGAAAGTGTGACCTCCAGGATCTGACTTCAGCCACGGCATGGGGCACCCTTCACTGTGGGGTGTTGAAGGAAGACCCAGAGGGGCAGGGAGGAGGCGTGTGGTGTCCCTGCAGGCACCAGATGACAGCGGGGCTGGGTATAAAACATGGTGCTGCCAGCAAGGAGCTGGAACGTGGAGCCACAGCGAAGGGAGGAGGGTGCGCACGAGGCCTATGACAGCTCATGCACGGCTGGAGTCTGGGTAAGTGGAGGGGCAGCAAGGGTGGGGCTGATGGTCCAGACAGAGCAGACGACCCTTGCTGTCCACTATGGAAGGACACACAAGAACCATCATGCGTGTGAGAGCCTTTGGCATGAGAGACACAAAGCCACAGGGAAACACATGGTGTGGAGACTGTGCTGAGAGCAGAGATGCAGAGATGCAGAGACAGCAGAGATGCAGAGACAGCAGAGAGTGGACGAACGAGGAGGGTGTGGGGTGGCTGGGGATGGCGTGAGGTCCAGGGAACAGGAGGGGCTCTCGTGCACCAGCGTGGGTGGAGAAATCAAACAGGATGAAGCCTCGACAGAAAGAACAGGACACGAGACTGAGGAAGCTCCGAGAGAGCAGCGAGGGAGACCAGTGGCTGGAAAATGAGAAAACAAAGCCACTGAGGCCCCAGCAGCAGCCCCAGTGCCAACCAGCAGGGGGCACAGGACAGAGAAGAGGAAGCGGCAGCAGCCCCAGCGCCGACCAGCAGGGGGCACAGGACAGAGAAGAGGAAGCGGCAGCAGCCCCAGCGCCGACCAGCAGGGGGCACAGGACAGAGAAGAGGAAGCCGCAGCAGCCCCAGCGCCGACCAGCAGGGGGCACAGGACAGAGAAGAGGAAGCCGCAGCAGCTCCAGCGCCGACCAGCAGGGGGCACAGGACAGAGAAGAGGAAGCGGCTGCAGCCCCAGCGCCGACCAGCAGCGGGCACAGGACAGAGAAGAGGAAGCCGCAGCAGCCCCAGTGCCGACCAGCAGCGGGCACAGGACAGAGAAGAGGAAGCGGCTGCAGCCCCAGCGCCGACCAGCAGCGGGCACAGGACAGAGAAGAGGAAGCCACAGCAGCCCCAGTGCCGACCAGCAGCGGGCACAGGACAGAGAAGAGGAAGCGGCTGCAGCTCCAGTGCCAACCAGCAGGGGGCACAGGACAGAGAAGAGGAAGCCGCAGCAGCCCCAGCGCCGACCAGCAGCGGGCACAGGACAGAGAAGAGGAAGCGGCTGCAGCCCCAGCGCCAACCAGCAGGGGGCACAGGACAGAGAAGAGGAAGCCGCAGCAGCCCCAGCGCCGACCAGCAGCGGGCACAGGACAGAGAAGAGGAAGCGGCTGCAGCCCCAGCGCCGACCAGCAGGGGGCACAGGACAGAGAAGAGGAAGCCGCAGCAGCCCCAGCGCCGACCAGCAGGGGGCACAGGACAGAGAAGAGGAAGCGGCTACAGCCCCAGCGCCGACCAGCAGGGGGCACAGGACAGAGAAGAGGAAGCCGCAGCAGCCCCAGCGCCGACCAGCAGCGGGCACAGGACAGAGAAGAGGAAGCGGCTGCAGCTCCAGTGCCAACCAGCAGGGGGCACAGGACAGAGAAGAGGAAGCGGCTGCAGCTCCAGTGCCAACCAGCAGGGGGCACAGGACAGAGAAGAGGAAGCGGCAGCAGCCCCAGTGCCGACCAGCAGCGGGCACAGGACAGAGAAGAGGAAGCCGCAGCAGCCCCAGCGCCGACCAGCAGCGGGCACAGGACAGAGAAGAGGAAGCGGCAGCAGCCCCAGCGCCGACCAGCAGCGGGCACAGGACAGAGAAGAGGAAGTGAGGAAATGGAAGAAGAGGGTTGACCTGAGCTGAAGGACATGAACTTCCACGTGAAATAGCCCCAGGGCCGGGCACAGTGGCGCACGCCTGTAATCCCAGCACTTTGGGAGTCTGAGGCAGGAGGATTCCTTGAGCCCAGGAGTTCGAGACCAGCCTGGGCAACACAGTGAGACCCACCCCCTCCATCTCTACAAAAAATACAAAAATTAGCCAGACACAGTGGCTCACACCTGTAGTCCCAGCTGCCCCAGAGTCTAAAGCAGGAGGCTCACTGGAGCACAGGAGTTCGAGGCTGCCGTGAGCTACGATTGCACCACTGCACTCCAGCCTGGGCGACAGGATGAGACTGTGTCTCAAAAGAAGAAAAAAGGAAAAACTAATAGTTAAAAGTAAATAAATAGTCCCGGTTTCCAGCAGAATAAAAGGAAGGTCAGCAGAAAGGCCAGGACGGCCTGAAGGAACTTCAGGGCTGGGACTGTGGGGTGGAGCCGTCCCTTCCGGATGCCGAGCGAACGGACCTCCCCGCAAAAGCACAGGGGTGAGGGGATGAAGTCATGTTCCACACACAGGATTTAGACACGGCTCATGGCCCATGCACCCGAAACCAGGATGTGCATCGAGGAGAAGGAGGAATGGGGCACAGTGGGGCGGCAGAGGCCCCGGGGTGCTGACGAGAGGAGCCCCGAGGGGGACATGGAGACAGGAGCAAGAGGACCCTGCAGAGAGGGGCGGGTGCCCGCCCAGAAGAACAAGCCAGGGGAAGAGGTGGAGATCCTGGCACGGCCAGGACGCCGTGGCTCAGCCTTGAGTGCGGCCACAGACACATCGTAACAGGAGCACCCAACGTCATTTTTCCATCAAGAAGAAGAAGGCGATATCACCGTATTGGGGAAGGGAGTGTTTGAGTGGGGAGATGTTGAGCTGTGACGTAAGCCTGTTATTTGGAAACACGGAGGTAAATACAAAAACCAAACACGCCCAGCAAAACAAGGAAGGTGATTTTCTCTGGGTCTTTGCCAGGGGCAGGAGGGGTAGGAGGGGCAGGAGGGGCAGGGCCTGCTGGGTTTCATGATTGCGGTGCTATTTCAGACTTTTTAAGCACTATTCACTGGTTTGATACAAAGTCAGAATGCAGTTTGACACCCACTAGCCGGGCCAGAGCTGACAGCCTCCTGGGGAGGGGTCAGCCCAGCCCCACGGCAGCCCTGGTGCACACCCACAGTGAGACCTGAGTTCATCTTTTACCTGCTTTGCTCCTCACAGTTACTCGGGGGTAGGAATTGTGGCCCCGTGTGCCCACGTCATAGTTGTGTAAACCGGGGCTTAGACAGTGGGTCGACTTTCTGGAGCTCAATACGGATAGTGCCTGCATGTGGACCCCGCCCGGACAGCCGCCCTCTTCCCACCTACCCGTTAACACCCATGCTGCATGCAAAGCCACCCACCCGCAGAAACAGGTGGTGCAGAGAGGGGGCGGGGGGATGAGACCAAGGGCTGAGGAACAAAATGAAGAAAAAGGGCTTTCAATTAAGTTCTTTCCCTTGGTGCAGGCTGCTTCCCACGGAGCACTAAGCTGCCACTTTGTCCGCAAGTAGGACAGTGTCTTGCCAGAGAGGCCGACGAGAAGCGTGGGGGTTGAAATTCAAACATGATTTTTTACAAACCAGGGGAAAACCTGGGATTTCACTTCACAGAATTGAGAGTCAGGAAGGGAGTGGCTCACAAGGGGGGCTTCTGCCTGGCGCTGGGACCCCCGCCCCTGAGCCATCGGGGCCGCGCACCTGGCAGAGACCACAGAGCTGAAGGTGGGCACCACTTTTCTCTGAATTAAAGTAAATGAATGAAGAAATAAATAAATATATGAATGGGGATTCGTGTGTGGCCTGGCCCTCTAGGGCCATGGGACAAGATCTGAAGAACAGGCTGCTGGGGAATGCGGGTGGTGGGCACAGCCCAGCCAGGATGCAGAAGCCTGCTCTGAACACAGAGGACACAGCCCACCCCAGCCCACAGCCCACAGCCCAGCCCAGCTGCAGAAGCCTGCTCTGAACACAGAGGACACGGCCCACCCCAGCCCACAGCCCACAGCCGAGTCCGGCTGCAGAAGCCTGCTCTGGACACAGAGGACACGGCCCACCCCAGCCCACAGCCCACAGCCGAGTCCGGTTGCAGAAGCCTGCTCTCAACACAGGACACTGCCTGGCCCGAGACCACGTCACAGAAGGGCAGGGTTCCTGGCCCTCCCAGGGAGCTCCCTGGAGGCACCTGCGCCGTCCTCACCTGGGAGTGAGCTCCATATGCAGATTCCCGGGCCAGGTCCCCAAGCCCAAGTACAGAGGTTGGGGGCAGAGGCCTTCAGCTACCGAGGGTCCTGGATGCAGGGGCTCCCAGGCTGTCCTTTTGGGACTCACGGCTCAGCCCTTCCCCACCTCCTGGGGGGACCTCCCCGGAGTACCCTGACTGCACAGACACCCTCGGCACACCTGGCCTGCAGCCAGTCCGTTCCACAGAACCCCCAAGCCACTGTCCCCCAGGAGGGCCTTCACCAGGGCAGACGACAAGAGAAGGTTCCAGAAGCCTCTGCCTGCCCAGGTGGGCCTGAGAGGGGCGAGGAAGATGGATGGGCCCAGACCAAGCGATTGTCTGAGGAGCAGAGTTCCAGCTCCCAGTGTGTGGGGGATGCGGACATCTTCCTGTGCACAGAGGGCTCTGCTGACCCTTTCAGTGACAGGGGAAGGGCGCCTGCATTTGGAAGAAGGGGCTTGTAGCCGGCCGCCTGCTGGGAGGGCGTCCTCCAGAAGGGGAGGCATTTGCTCCTGCCCTCGCAGCTTGTCCTGAAGTAAAATTCCTCTCCTGGGAAAAGTGGGAGAGGAATTAGGAGAGCCCCAGGGCTGCTGCTGTGTGGGGTCTGGGCGTGGCGGTGCCCGCTGGGCCCGTACCAGCCATACCCTAGCCTAGGTTGCCCAGGTCGGCCACCCAGCTAGGCTACTGTGGGGGGCTCCGGCCAGCCGGCCCCTTCCCAGAGCGCCTGCCCCGCCCATCTCCGTGGGTCCCAGGGCTCGGCCATCCTGTGAGCTGGAGGGACCCGCAGGTCCGCAGGTGAGCGCAGGTTCCCGGGACACCTGCTCATGTCTGGTCCGCGTGCGTCACCTAGAGGACAGCCGGGGAAGAGCAAGAACCAGCGTCCGCGTGAGCGGCGGCCCCAGCCGAGAAGCAGGTGCCTTGTCCTCAGCGCCCAGGGTCAGCATGGCCCCACCGCCTCCCTCAGCCCGGCCCAGAGCCCAGGCCACATGGAGCTTGTGCATCTCCTGCTCCTGCCTCCCCAGGACCAGCTCAGTCCTGGCAACTCCATAACTCCTGCCAGGTAACCGGGTTCTTCTCCTGTACGTCCATTCTGAAAGAACACTGTGCAAATTCAGTACCCTGCACACCAACACACCTACGACACCTCCCTTAAACGTGGAACCGGAAGCCTGGAATTGCCCTGGAGGGCAGCGGGAGCTGTTGCTGCCCCCCCACCGGCCTTCCAGAGCCTCCGAAGCCCCCTGCATGCATGGCGCCTTGGGGCCTTTGCATGGCTGCCCCCTGGAGCTCTGCGCCTGCCCAACCCCTTCACTTTGTTAATTCCTGTCCTGACGCGGCTCAGACGTTTCATCTGGGAGGATGGTTTCAGGTGCACACCACCCCACCCAGCCAATTTTTCAATTTTTTATAGAGATGGAGTCTTTCTGTGCTGCTCAAATTGGTCTCAAACTCCTGGCTTCAAGTGATCCTCCTGCCTCAGCCTCCCCAAAATGCTGGGATTCCAGGCATGAGCCACCGTGTCCAACCCCGTTTTATAAATAAGATCATGTTCTGAGGTTCTGGGAGGACATGAATGTTGGGGGCACACATTTAACTCACTACTGTCTTCCAATCCAGATGAATTTTCTCTCCCTTTCATAGCTCAGTCCGTTTTGTTTTTAAGCGTGCTGTGAGTCTTAACGAGGATAGCAAGTGCCACTCCCCATTCGGAGTAGACCATCATCTCATTTAGAAGAGACAGCGTGCATTAGATACAAAAACTCAAAGGTGTTTAGATATGAATGTGGCAGAGACACAAATTAACTGCGAATCGCAGCTGTCATCCAGGGCAGATTTCCTAAAGAGGTGCTATCTGTCTAAACAGCAAGAAACATTTATTGTAACTCATGGCTATGGTGCCTTCCAGATTTTCGGGAAGTAAAAGGCCATGATTGGTGTCCCCCAAGGCACAGAAATCCTTATTTCGGAGGAAAAGCTACACACCAGCCAGGGTGGCTGAGAACCCTGCCCTGAAGAACAAATCCAACTTTCCCTCAGCCACACCTCAAAGAATATGAACATAAACAGAGCCTCACTCCCTACATCCCAGGCCGAAGGCCACAGCTCAAACCTGCACAGTCCTGAGGCCCTGCATGTTCTGCCTGACCCTGTGTTTATGTATTGGCCACGTGCAGAAATCCTGCAATCAATGAGAGATACATTTGAGTGTCTATAAACTCAACACATGTTTACTGAGCACCTACTATGTTACAAATGCCCTTGATGCTGGGGATGGGATGGGGAGCAAGACAGGCTCTGTCCTAGGAGGATGCCGTCCTGGGACACGCCAGCAGGTCAGGGCAAGTGCACGAAAGCCGTAGGCTTCAGACTTTATTGGCGACAACCGGGACCACTGGAGGACATTCGGCAAGTCTCTGGAGTGCACAAAACGGAGGTTCTCTTCCTGTCTCCATTACACTCTCCTCCTGTCTCCTTTACGCTCTCCTCCTGTCTCCTTTACGCTCTCCTCCTGTCTCCTTTACGCCCTCCTCCTGTCTCCTTTACGCTCTCCTCCTGTCTCCATTACGCCCTCCTCCTGTCTCCTTTACGCTCTCCTCCTGTCTCCATTACGCCCTCCTCCTGTCTCCATTACGCCCTCCTCCTGTCTCCTTTACGCTCTCCTCCTGTCTCCTTTACGCCTTCCTGGCTGCTGGAGGACGGCTCAGCGGGCCCTGAATCCCCACAGTCAGAGCAGGTCACTGACCTCCGTGCCGCAGCCTCAATTCATGAGACTGCTGAGTCCAAGACATGACTCAAAGCTCTGCCCTTGACCCTGGACTCAGTCGCTCCCTCCTGAGGCTTAGGCTGCAGGGGATTTCTCCATTCTCCGCCCTCCTTCCATGGCCCGGCTTGCTTCGCTGGTGGGAAAGGCAGGGAGGGGGCCAGGGGTGCTGAGTAGAACCTTGAAGCTGCCTCCACAATCAGGTCAGCAGTGCATGAAGACCCTCCTCTCATCTAGGGTCACCTCCTCCTTGGTCTGGTCCCGGAGGGGTTTCGGGACCCTCCTCTCATCTGGGGTCATCTCCTCCTCGGTCTGGTCCCGGAGGTGTCTGGAGACCCTCCTCTCATCTGGGGTCACCTCCTCCTTGGTCTGGTCCCGGAGGGGTTTCGGGACCCTCCTCTCATCTGGGGTCATCTCCTCCTGGGTCTGGTCCCGGAGGTGTCTGGAGACCCTCCTCTCATCTGGGGTCATCTCCTCCTTGGTCTGGTCCCAGAGGGGTTTGGGTACCCTCCTCTCATCTGGGGTCATCTCCTCCTCGGTCTGGTCCCAGAGGGGTTTGGGGACCCTCCTCTCATCTGGGGTCATCTCCTCCTCGGTCTGGTCCCGGAGGTGTCTGGAGACCCTCCTCTTTCCTGGGGTCATCGCCTCTGTGGTATGGTTCTGGAGGTTTCTGGAGACCTTCCTTTCTCCTGGAGTCATGTGCTAGCTCTTTGCACCTCTCCTTGCCCAATGGCTCACAGAGACCCCCTCCATTCCTGGTGGCCGCGGCAGCCCGTCTTAGCCCGGGGAGCCCAGAGCTCACCCTTGGCCTCTCACTGCTGGCCACTCTCCTGGCCCTCTCCTGTCCTTCCTCTGCCACATGGCGTCCATGGGAAACATTCGCCCAGCAGCTGTCCGTGGAACCTGCAAGGGGCAACCATGGCAAAGCCACCCTCTCCTCGCCCACCTTTCTTTCTTTCTGTTTATTTATTTATTTTTGAGACAGAGTCTCACTCTGTCGCCCAGGCTGGAGTCCAGTGCCACGATCCCGGCTCACTGCAACCTCCACCTCCCGGGTTCAAACAATTCTCTTGCCTCAGCCTCCCGAGTAGCTGGGATTACAGGCATCCACCACCACCACACCTGGCAGATTTTTTGTATCTTTAGTACAGATGGGGTTTCATCATGCTGGTCAGGCTGGTCTCGAACTCCTGACCTTGTGATCTGCCAGCCTTGGCCTCCCAAAGTGCTGGGATTATAGACATGAGCCACTGTGCCCGGCTTCGCCCATCTTTCTTAGCTGTAAGTCGGGGCCTCTGGGCCTGATCCCCACAGGGACCAGAAGTGAGAACGAGGACACCCACAGTGGTACCCGGGCCATCTCTCAGACCTCCTGCCAGCTCCAGCTTCAGCTGGCCAAGGGGCCCAGAGTCATGGTCTGGTCATCCAAACACCCTTTGTGAGTTCCGCATGGGTTGGGGCTGGGGTGTCTGCCTCCCAGGCACTAGGGAAGTTCCCACTGTGTAATCTGGGACCTGTCAGAAGTTTCTGTAAGGAGGCAAGCCCACCTCTGCCTTCCCTAAGTTTCTGGCAGAGTGAACGAGGACATCTTCCCCCACCTCCAGCCTCCCCAACCCCAGCGGCCTCTCCTGCCCTCTGGCCTGGAGGCAGAACCTCCCACGGCCACCCAGGCTGGCCAGCTGCCACCGTCATTCCCAGAGACCTGTGCCACAATTCCTCAAGGTCAGCTCAGCCTGGGTGAAATTCGTTCATTCTTTAATTCCTCTCAGTGAAAGTTTGAAAGTCTGCAAATGGAGTTTCCTGCTTAAAGAACAAACAACAACAACAAAACACACACACACAAAGTTGGGGGCATGTTTTAGATTAGAGGAGAACAAACTGATATAACGATCAGTATAATATGTGATCTGTGAATACTTGGATCTACAAATATGCTAATAACTTTCATAGGCAGAGGCAGGAGGATTGCTTGAGACCAGGAGTTGGAGACCAGCCTGGGCAACATAGCAAGACCCCCATCTCCCCCAAAAATTAGAAAATTAGCCATGCACGGTGGTGCACACCTGTGGTCCCAGCTACTCAGGAGGCTGAGGTGGGAGGAGCCCTGGAGACTAGGACTTGGAGGCTGCTGTGAGCTATGATTGCACCACTGCACTCCAGCCTGGGTGACCCTGTCTTAAAAAATAAATAAATAAAAATAAAAACAGAAGGATATTTCAAAGGATATTTTGGAAATAACTGGACAGATTTGCCTATGGGCTCTATGTCAGTGATAAGATTGTGTTGACATCCCATTTCCTGGGCCTGGCGCTGTGTCCATGGAGGAGAGCGTGCTTGTCCTTGGGAGAGGCAGGCTGAGGCCTTCAGGATGAAGTGTAATGGCATCTGCAGCTCACTTTGAAATGTTTCAGCAAAAAAAATGCTCACCAGGAGTTCAAGAAGATGTCTAAATTTGGCTCGGGGATGGAATTTCACCCACAGAGTATAATTAGAAAAAATACATTTTATGCAAACTCCGCTCTTCTGTGAAGTAAGTGAGTCAAGATGTTCATGACTGGCGGATTTAGGAGCTGAAGCATTTGTGGGTGTTCACTGCACTGTTCTTTACACTTTTTGGTGGGTATAAGAGAGTGTGCACCGCCTTCATGAATTGTCTGGAGGAAAAGATGTGTACGCACAACTCAGGGCCCTGTTTAGGGACGGGGTCAGCTCCTGCCCGCCCATTCCCCTCTCCTCCCAGGCAGAGGCTGAGGATGTGGAGGAGGAGCAGCATCTGAGGCCCCTGCAGGGGGGAGCGAGGAGGGAGCACGGCTGAGGATGTGGAGGAGGGACAGCATCTGAGTCCCCTGCAGGGAGGAGTGGGGAGGGAGCACGGCTGATGATGTGGAGGAGGGACAGCATCTGAGGCCCCTGCAGGGAGGAGCGGGGAGGGAGCACGGCTGAGGATGTGGAGGAGGAGGAGTGGCGTCTCAGACCCCTGCAGGGAGGAGCAGGGAGGGAGCACGGCTGAGGATGTGGAGGAGGAGCGGCACCTGAGGCCCCTGCAGGGAGGAGCGGGGAGGGAGCACTCCAGAAACACTTCCCAAGTCCACGTGCCTGCATCCCAGATTTCCTCTCCCTGGGATGGCTGCTGGACATCCCAAATTCCGCCGAAGCTGATCCCGCACTCTCCCCCACAGAAGGTTCTCCCCACGCAGCCTTCCCTCATCATCAGTAACAACTCCCCTGACTCTTCTCCTCCCCCAGCACCCCTCACGTGCTGAGCTCCACTTCTGGAGATGGAAGAACAGCCCCTCCCTCCACGCCCCCACTGTGCACGTTCCCAGACACCGAAGTCACCTCCTGGTTCTGAGTCCCAGTGGCCTGCACAGTGACCCTCACAAGAGCCCCTCCCTCCACGCCCCCACCGTGCACGTTCCCAGACACAGAAGTCGCCTCCTGGTTCTGAATCCCAGCGGCCTGCACAGTGACCCTCACAAGAGCCCCTCCTCAGCTCGCAGTCCAAGGGACCCGTAAATGTGTGAGCAGATCACACCCCCTCTCCTTCACGCACCATCCCCATCCCACACGAGGGCAAGGCAGAGTCCTCACAAAGGCCTTCGGGGTCCTCTGCAGGTGGCCTCGGTCCACGTGCTAAGATCATCCTGCTTCTCTTCCTCTCACGGGTTCTCCTTCAGCCCCAGGCCTGGCTGCTTCTCGGTCAGTGGGCATTCACCCGCACAGCCCTCTGCCCTGTGCCTCCCTCAGCCTCGCATGGCTGGTGCGTCCCCTCTTTTGGGTCTGTGCATAGATGTCATCTCATGGGGGAGCCTACTGTGACCAGCCCGTGACCACCCACACACCCATGCGTGCACACACACACCCAGACACACAGGGAGACTGCTGTGGCCAGCCCATGACCACCCACACACTCGTGTGCACACACACACCCAGGCACACACACCCTGGACCCATGACCCTGCTATGTTTCTTTCCCCGTAGTACTTTTCTCACCTAGATTATCATTTTAGTCACCTTTTGGTCAATAATTTGTCTCCTCCGATAGAACCTAAGCCCATGAAGATGGAAGACAGGGCAGGTTTTTTACTACGATTATTGTTCACTGGCATAGCCCAACCACGTCGACCACATTGTAAGCTCTTGATAAAAAATAAGAATGACTCCACATGACAGAAAGAGCCACCATGTGGCCATAAGGGACCAAACCACAGACCCACTCAGGCCGCGAGGCATTTCTCTCTCTGCTTTCAGTACTCGATGGCCTTTGACAACTTCGTGAGGATCTCTGAGTTGACCTTACTTGGAATTCACTGAGCTTCTCGGATGTGTAGAGTTATGTATTTCATCTCATTTGTGACTTTTTGGCCATTATTTCTTCAGGTATCCTCTGTCCCTTCCTCACTCTCCTCTCCTTCTGGGTCTCCTATTATGCACAGTTAGGGGCTCGTCAGGGCCCACAGATCTCTCCGGCTTTGCTCATTTTTCTTTATTCATTTTTCTTTCTGATCCTCAAACTGGATAATCTCAATTGACTTGTCTTCAAGTCACTAATTTTCTTTTTCTGCCTGCTCAAATCTGCCATTGAACCTCTCTAGTGAAATTTTCATCTCAGTTATTTTAGTTTTCATCTCTAAAAATTCTGTTTGGGTAATTTTCATAATTTCTTCTTTTTTTTTTTTTTTGAGATGGAGTCGAGTCTCACTCTGTCACCCAGGCTGGAGTGCAGTGGTGTGATCTCAGCTCACTGCAAGCTCTGCCTCCCAGGTTCATGCCATTCTCCCGCCTCAGCCTCCCGAGTAGCTGGGACTACAGGTGCCCGCCACCACACTCGGCTAATTTTTGTATTTTTAGTAAAGACACGGTTTCACCATGTTAACCAGGATAGTCTCGATCTCCTGACTTCGTGATCTGCCCGCCTCGGCCTCCCGAAGTGCTGGGATTACAGGGGTGAGCCACCGCACCCAGCCAGGTAATTTTCATAATTTCTATCTCTTTATTGAAATTCTCTATTTGTTCAAACATTATTCTCCTGGTTTTCTTTCTTTGCCCATGTTAAACCCAATTAAATATGGCCTGAGAAGGACTCCATACTTCTATATTTGAGTACTTGTGGATGAACTGCAACCTAGCTTAACAGGTAGATAAGATTGAAAACCTAACTTAGGAATCTGCACCTGTAACAATAGCTGAGTCTTGGCCAATTCCAGCAGCCATAGTTCAACCACTCACACACTGCTGAGTGTTCAAACTGTGTTCAAATAAGGCAAACACCAAGCTGTGACCGATCCAGCCATTCTGTACCTTACTTCTGATTTCTGTACCTCTCTTCCCTTTTTTTTATCTATAAATCTTCTTCCACCACGTGGCTGCACTGGAGCCTCTTTGAATCTGCTGTGATTCTGGGGGCTGCCTGATGTGTGAATCATTCATTGTTCAATTAAACTCTTTAAATTTAATTCAGTTGAAGTTTTTCTGTTATCACCCACTGTTTCTTTTAGCTCCTAAACATACTTTAAATAGTTGATTAAAGTCTTCGTCTAATGTGTCTGCTTCTTCTGAGAGAGGTTCAGTTGATCTTTTTTTCTTTTCCTTTAGCATCTATGGGCCATAGTTTCTTGTTTCTTTGCATGCCTTGTAATTTTTTGCTGAAAAGTAGACATTTGGAATATTATGATGTAGCAGCTATGAAAATCTCCTCTCTCCCCACATTTGGAGCAGGGAACTCCAAAATCCATCTGTTCATAAAAGCAATGAATAAACTGGCAAAAACAATTGGAACCAACGGATTGCTGCTTATGTAGTTTTTTTGGTTTCAGTTTATTTTGTTGCTGCTTATTTTTAGTATTTCTGTTTATTTAGTGACTTTTCTGAGTGAATTTTATGAAGTCTGTGTTCTATGCTGTGTGTGGTCAGTGAAGTCTCTGTTCTGTGAGTTCACTCTCAGCTAATGATTCCACAGAGCGAGGACTAAGCTCTGGCTTTTTCTTATCTTGCCCGTATTTCTGTCTAAGGGACCTGGGGTATCATGCCCTACAAACCATAAATTCTCATCAGATGGGTTTTATTTAACCCTGTGTATCATGGCTTACTTTCCAGTCTGACTCTAGCATTACATTATGTGGCAAAGAAGAAAATAAAAATTGTTTACCCCAAAACATGTTTCTGAAATGGCCGTGCAAAGCCGTCCTTTGTGGGGGAACATCTTGCATCTGTAGAGACTCTCTAGTAACATAGCTAGATCTTTTTCTTCCAGGCCCTCCCAATCCTGAAGAGATTAACTGAGAGCCTAGCACCTTGTAAATGTCTGAATAGGAAACATTTGTCATTGATTGTCTCTAAGGGCAGCCATTATGAGACTCCAAAAAAACCGTGGTCTCCACAATCTTTTATCTTAACCTGAATATTTCCTTTCTGTGGATCCCAGGTCTTTAGACAAACTCAACCAACTGTCAACCAGAAAATGTTTAAATTTAGCTATAGCCTGGAAGCCCCTGAGGACCCCCTTTGAATTGTCCTGCCTTTCTGGCCAAACCAATGTATTTCTCAAATGTATTCAATTGCTGTCTCATGCCTCCCCAAAATGTATAAAACCAAGTGTTAGGGACTCTTTGAGGTGTCAGTTTTCTTCCCAGAAACTTCTGTGGCTGGTGGCCCCTTTGCCCGAGGTCTCGTCCTGCATCCAGGGAGAATGAGGTATGCAGACAAGTGGAGGGTGAACAAAATGAAGAGGAGGTTTACTGAGTATTACATCAGCTCAGCGGAGACCCTCTGTGGGTAGCTCCTGTCTGTAGGCAGGTCATCCATTGAGTGCTCAGCTCTCATCAGAGACGAGGCCCTGGAGAGGGTAGCTCCTCTCTGTAGGCAGGTCATCCATTGAGTGCTCAGTTCTCAGCAGACAGGAGGCCCTGGGGTAGTTTCTCTCTGCAACTGGTCATCCCGATATCTGCAGCTCTCAGTGGAGAAGAGGCCCTGGAGAGGGTGGCTCCTCTCTGCAGCTGGTTGTTCCAGAGTCGCTCTGCCCTCTTTGTCCTCTGGTCGTCCTCTGCCCTGCTCTGGCTGAACCCAGGGCTTGTATGGACCTCAGAGGGGGCAAGTGTATGATTATTGGTCTATGGGTGGCCGTGGGTGGGCCTGGAAGAAGCACTATGGGTCCCCACTCCAGTCCAGGGGGCCGACAGCCCAGCCTCCAGCCTTCAGGGTCTCCCTGGCTGAAGGTGGGGCCTTACTGGGGACCCGCCCCTTCCACCCAGGAATCAATCTGCCTCCTGCTGCCATTCGTGGTCCCTGGGGCTCAGCCCCAACCCCACTCCGAGATCAGAACAGGCACCCAGAGCAGAGAGAGGCCAGGCAGTGGAAGCAGATACCGGAGCCTGCAGGGACCGTGACTGCAGACCTGGGCCTCCCACTCTACAGAGCAGGCAGGAGCCACGGACTAGCAGGGTCCCTGCCCCTTCTGAGTGGGTGGGGCAGGAGCTCCCCAGGTGCAGCTGCAGCCACCCTCCAAGGCACAGGCCCTGGGCATCTCTACAGCCTGTACCCTCTGGGGCCCAAGAAGGCTCCCTCCCTCCCACTGCGCCCAGGCAGGCAGATCCTGCCTGCTCCTGACCCTTCCAAGAGGACAGAGAGGCTCGGAATCACAGCTGCAGTTTGGGTGGCTGTAGCCCCACCCAGGAGGGAAGGCTCCCACCAGCTACCTGGGGTGTGCAGCCCAGCTGTGCCTGCCTGCTGCAGCCGGTGTGATGGAGCAGCCACTCACCTTGGGCACATGATCACCTTGGGTACATGTTCTCAGGACCTCTGGAGGGCTGTGTCATGGGCCACTGTCACTCATTTTTGGCTCAGAATAAATCTCTTCAAATATTTTACAGAGGTTTCTGTAAAATATCATTGACAAGAGGTTTCTTTAAACACTTGAAACACAGCACACACATGGGTAATATACCTCCCAATCTCTGAATGGGGGGCTCTGTGTGTGTTCAGGGGCACGCCTTCAACACTGAGGCAATTTTCAACTCTGCCTTAGCCTTCATTTCCTGCTTGTCCAGAAGCTGAAGGTCAGCCAGAAGTGATCATGTAGAGCCTTCTCAGGTCTTTTCTGAACTTGTACACGCTCCTGGGTATGCGCCTGGACTTCTAGATTCCAAAGAATATGCAAAAACCCTCAAAATCTGTATCCTCCAAAGCATCTCAATCCCCAGTCTTTCCTCCCAAGCTTTATGGTTAATCTATTGTTTGCCCCAATGGTTATCCCTTGCCCCAGGCAGTAGTGACTAATACATTTGACTTTAAATGTTTCAACAAATGCCCTATAGGGAGACACTTAAGAGCTCCCAGTTACGTGAAGGAAAGGCAAGCCCTTTGAGGCTGTCCATCCAGGAGCCACAGCGATTGTCAGAGGCATTTGAGCCAGGGCAACCCCATCTTGAACAGGAGCTGGCTAAAATGGGGTTGAGACCTACTGGGCTGCATTCCTAGATGGTTAAGGCATTCTAAGTCACAGGATGAGACATGGGAGGTGGGCACAAGATACAGGTCATAAAGACCTTGCTGATAAAACAGGTTGCAGTGAAGGAGCTGGCTGAAACCCACCAAAACCAAGATGGTGGTGAGAGAGACCTCTGGTCGTCCTCATGGCTACACTCCCACCAGCGCTGTGACAGTTTATAAATACCATGGCTGATGTCAGGAAGTTCCCCTAAAGGGTCTAAACAGGGGAGGCATGAATAATCCACCCTTTGTGCAACATAGCATCAAGAAATAACCATAAAAATGGGCAACCAGTGGCCCTCGGGCCTGCTCTGTCTATGGAGTAGCCATTATTTTCTTAATAAACTTTACTTTCCTAATAAACTTGTTTTCAGTTTACTCTATGGGCCTGCCCTGAATTCTTTCTTGCATGAGATCCACGAACCTTCTGTGGGGGTCTGGATCGGGACCCCTTTCCTGCAACACAACTGCATCCTAAAGTCTGTCCCCTCCTCTGCTGGTGCTAGACGCCTGTGCTGGGAATGTGTGCTGTTGTCTTCAAGGCCTCAAGCTGGTGAGTGGTGGATGGGCCCAGGGTAAGTGAAAAGGCCACAAAGCTTCCTTACTGAGATTCAGCTGTGTTTTCCTGATTACGCACTCCCCTGGCGGCTGCAAGCTTTGATTAGTGTGCAGAGTTCTAAGAAAGTTGGTTCTGATTGTTTTTGCTGGTTTGTTCGTTGCTTTTGAAGACAGATGGATTCAGGGTTCCCTACTCTAGCTTTTTCACTGACGTCTGTATGGCTGGGTTTGGAAAGTTCTTTATACATTCTAGATACAAGTCCCTTCTCAGATATATGCTCACAAAGATTTTATCCCAGTTTATGGCTTGTCTTTTCATTCTTTTCACAGTGTCTTTTGAAAGTTTTAAATTTTAGCAAAATTCAATTTATCAATGAATTGTTTTATGGGTGGTGTTCCTTCTCCTACCCCACTGCCCAAATTCTTTGATTTTATTTCATGTGTTGTGATTTTCTTTTCACCCCCAAATTAGATATTTGATTCATTTATTGGTTCTCTGGATTTTAAGAAGTATTCGTTTTTGCTTTGGCCTTTTTTTCTTCCTTTCTGTTTTGCTAAAGGTTGGTGTTTGAATTATAAATAAAAACATGTATCTATGCTTGTGCACTTCTGTTAGTTCAATGATTAATTAATTCAATGTAATATTTTTATTTAATAATGAAAACATTTAAGAATCTGCATTGACTTTTGCTACACTTAGAATATTCATTAAAAAGCCTAAAATTACATCTTAATTAGCTCCTTAATCCAACTGTTGTTTAACCAAGTGCTTCTTAATTTCTAGTGGATGAGGCATTTTCACACCGAGCCTACTCTGATTGCACTCTACTTTGAAGAGGTAGAATGCGTTATATTTGCATTTGACACAACCGAGGTTGGCTTGGTTTTGGTGTTTTCGGTTATTTTAGCCGAGTACATCATTTAATATTATATAAGAAATGTGCTATTTGTAGATGACAAAGTTTTCTATATACTTATTTATTCAAATTTATTAATTATTCAAATAATTCAACAATAGAGCCTACTTGTCTTAATTTAGTGAATCCCTGAAAGGCTGAGAAAGACGTGAAGATTTCTTCACCATACATGCCTTCTGTTGATGTCTCCCTTTATTTCTAATCATTTTTGCTTTATATTTTTGAGAACTAAGTAATTCAGAAAGAGAATGTGATGTTTTCACTGAAGAGTATCTACTTTATGAATGTAAAATGACTCCTTCAATATTTTTACTTTAATTTTATTCTGACGTTAAGATCAGCACTTTGATTTTTCCTTCTTTACCTTTGCCTGATAACACTTCAGTCAGTCTTTCGTGCATGTGCATAACTTTTCTCTTCTCATTTTCATGAGG